>NC_000022.11:34921685-35073200 GCF_000001405.40 Homo sapiens
TTGACCCAGCAATCTCATTACTGGGTATATACCCAAAGGAATATAAATTGTTCTGCTAATAAAGACACATGAACACGTATGTTTATTGCAGCACTATTTACAATAGCAAAGACATGGAACCAACCCAAATGCCCATCAAGAACAGACTGAAAAAAGAAAATGTGGCACATATACACCATGGAATATTATGCAGCCATAAAAAAGAATGAGATCATGTTTTTTGCAGTGACATGGATGAAACTAGAAGCCATCACCCTCAGCAAACTAACCCAGGAACAGAAAACCAAATACCATATGTTCTCACTCATAAGTAGGAGCTGAACAATGAGAACACATGGACACAGGGAAGGCAGCAACACACACTGGGGCCTGTGGGGGTTGGGGGGGTGGGGGCCAAGGAGAGGGAACCTAGATGACAGGTTAATAGGTGCAGCAAACCACCATGGCACACGTATACCTATGTAACAAACCTGCACGTTCCGCACATGTATCCAAGAACTTAAAGTAAAATTAAAAAAAAAAAAAATAACAGCCAGAAACTGAAAATTACAACCTAATATAAAGCAATGATTGGTACAGAACAGTGTTTTTGCTTAGAGAAGAATAAACAAGTAGAGTGGAAGCGTCTGAAGACAAACCTGAATAAACATGGGGAAATATGATAATGGTGGCATTTCAGATTGGTGGGGAAAGAGATATAGGTTGTTCAATAAATTGTGTTTCAGAAAAAAAATACTTTATTGCAAAAACTGCTAATGGGCCTTCAGTGAGTCATTATCTTTTTGCTGGTGGAGGATCTTGGCTGGATGTTGATGCCTGCTGACGGATCAGGGTTGTGGTTGCTGAAGGCTGGGGTGGCTGTGGCAATTTCTTAAAATAAGACAACAATAAAGTTTGTCATCTCAATTGACTTTTTTTCTTTTTTTTTTTTTTTTTTTTTACAAAAGAGCTCTCTGTAGCATGAGATGCTGTTTGATAGCATTTTAGTCACAAGAGAACTTCTTTCAAAACTGGAGTCAATGCTCTCAAATCCTGCCACTGCTTTATTGACTAAGTGTATACAATATTCCAAGTCACTGTTGTCAGTTCAACGATGTTCACAGCGTCTTCACCAGGAGTGCATTCCGTCTCAAGAAACCACTTTCTTTGCTTGTCCATAAGAAGCAACTCCACATCCTTAAGGATTTATCGTGAGATTGAAACATTTCAGTCACATCTTCAGGCTCCACTTCTAATTCTGTTCTCTTACTGTTTCCAACACATCTGCAGTTACTTCTTCCACCAAAGTCTTGAAACTCTCAAAGTCATCCATGAGGGTTGGAATCAAGTTCTTCCACATTCCTGTTAACATTGATATTTTGATCTCCTCCCATGAATCATGAATGTTTTTAAAGAAAGATGAATCCTTTCCAGAAAATTTTCAATTTACTTTGCCCAGATCCATCAGAGGAATTGCTGTCTATGGCAACCACAGCCTTAGAAAATGCATTTTTTTAATAATAAGACTTTAAAGTCAGAATTACTTTCTGATCTATAGGCTGCAGAATGGATGTTGTGTTAGCAGGCATGAAAACAACATTAATCCCCTTATGAGTCTCCATTAGAGCGCTTGGATGATGAGGTGCATTGTTAATGAGCAGTAATATTTTGAAAAGAATCTTTTTTTCTGAGCATCAGGTCTCAAGAGTGGGCTTGAAATAGGCTGTAAACAGATGTGCTTTCATCCAGGCCTTGTTGTTCCATTTCTAGAGCACAGGAAGAGTAGATTTAGCATAACTCTTAAGGGTCCTAGGATTTTCAGAATGGTAAATGAGCATTGGCTTTAAAGTCATCAGCTGCATTAGCCCCTAACAAGAGAATCAGCCTGTCCTTTGAAGATGTGAAACCAAGCATTGACTTTTCCTCTCTAGCTATGAAAGTTCTAGATAGCATCTTCTTCCAATAGAAGGCTGTTTCATCTATTGTACATGGAAAATCTATTGTTTAGTGTGGCTGCCTTAATTGTCTTAGCTAGATCTTCTGGGTAACTTGCTACAGCTTCAACATCAGCACTAGCCTTACAATTTGATGTTATGCACATGGCTTCTTTCCTTAAACTGCATGAACCCACCTCTGCTAGCTTCAAACTTTTCTTCTGCAGCTTCCTAACCTCTCTCAACCTTCATAGCACTGAAAAGAGTTAGGGTCTAGCTACGGATTAGGCTGTGGCTTAAGGGAATGCTGTGGCTAGTTTCATCTGTTCAGACCACTCAAATTTTCTCTATACTAACAATAAGGCTGTTTTGCTTTCTTATCATTCATGTGTTTACTAGAGTAGCACTTTTAATTTTTTTCAAGAACTTTTCCTTTGTGCTCACAACTTGGCTAACTTTGGCGCAAAAAGCCTAGCTTTCAGCGAGTCTCAGCTTTCTACATGCCTTCCTCACTGCACATAATCATTTCTAGCTTTTGATTTAAAGTGAGTGGCATGTGAGTCTTCCTTTTACCTGAAGCCAATGTAGGGTTATTAATTGGCCTAATTTCAATATTGTTATGTCCTAGGGAGTAGGGAGGCATGAAAAGAGGGAGAGAGATGGGTAATGGCCAATTGACAGAGCGGTCAGAACACACACAACATTTATCGTTAAGGTCTGCCATATTATATGGGCATGGTTCACGGTATTCTAAAACAATTATAATAGTAACATCAAAGACCATTGATCACAGATTACCACAACAGATATAATAATAATGAAAATGTTTGAAATATTGCAAGAATTATCAAAATGTGACAAAGAGACATACAGTGAGCACATGCAGTTGGAAAAATGGCGCAGATAGACTTGCTCAATGCAGGGTTGCCACAAACCTTAACTTTGTAAAAAAGACAATATCTGCAACACGCAATAAACAAAAGCACAATAAAATGAGGTAGGCCTGTATATTTTTATCGTCAATCACTGCACAGTTATTCCTCGCCTACTGTACCATCCAAGGGAACAGGGCAGAGACATGGACTCTGTTGCTCAGGGAACACTCAGACATTAGACTTCCATGTGACATCTTTTAAAAGGTTTTTCTTCAGGGTTCATATATAGACCCTGCAGACCTAGGAGCTGCCACCTGTCAATCATTGGTATTCTGGGCATGTCCTGTAATTGTCCTTCCAATTACTGATATGCAGGGACAGTGGACACCAAAGCATAAGTCAGCAGAAGTCCGGGATTGGTTTTTCCTGGCCTTAGTCACTTTTCCATTTGGAAACTTCCATTAACTAGGGAGGAGCCTGGAAAAAGGATAATATTTAGGAAATCTATGCCTCTTTCAGATTAACTGGCCACTGATCTATCACTGGTTCTGGGTATTGAAATGCTCCGTTAACTACAGGAATCCTCTCACTAGGGAAAAGGGTGGGTGCAGGTCTATGATGGGTGGAAAGGGAAAAGTCAAGCTGCATCTGTGTCTATGCAGCGTATATTTCCATCTGTGTGCGTGTGTGTGCGCGCGCGAGAGAGAGGAGCACCTGTGTGTGCATGCTGAAATAAACCTCTGTGGGAGTGACAGTTCTAATATTTGGACTTGGCAATAGCAAAGCCTTAAGTGTTCAGTAAAACCTTCCATATTCTTATAACCCAGAAGAAAGGAGGGCAGTGACAACGTAGTTGTTGAAGGCCCTATGTAAAGATGGAGTGAGCTATTGAAAGTTCTTTGAAAGGAAGCCTGAACAATGCAGGAAGCCTGCATGGCTTCCAGGTCAGACAGCCCTGGGTTTGAATCAAGGCTGCACCATGTAACCTGGGCAAGTTGCCTATCCTTTCCAAGATGGAGTTTTCTTATATGTTAACTGAGAATAACAACAGCTATTGCCTGGCTGTTGAGCCCATTAAACAGCATCATGTTAAAAACTTCTAAAAGACTGAGTATAGAAGGAACATACCTCAACATAATAAAAGCCATATATGACAGACCCACAGCTAGTGTCATACTGAATGGAAAAAATGAAAGCTTTTCCTCTAATATCTGGAACACAACAAGAATGTCCACTTTCACCACTGTTATTCAACATAGCATCAGGGATCACCTGAGGTCAGGAGTTCAAGACAAGCCTGGCCAACATGGTGAAACCCCATCTCTACTAAAAATACAAAAGTTAGCCAGGAGTAGTGGTGGGTGCCTGTAATTGCAGCTACTTAGGAAGATGAGGCAGGAGAATTGCTTGAACCCGGGAGGCAGAGGTTGCAGTGAGCCGAGATCACGCCATTGCACTCCAGCCTGGGTGACCCAGCAAGACTCTGTCTGAAGAAAACCCAATAAATTAAATAAATAAAGTAATGAATTAAATTAAAAGAAAACACCAAAGAAACTCTCCAGGACATTGGTCTGGGCAAAAATTTCTTGAATAATACCTCACAAGCACACGCAACCAAAGCAAAAATGGACAAATGGGATCTCGTCAATTTAAAAAGCTTTTGCACAGCAACAAAAACAATCAACAAAGTGAAGAGACAACCCACAGAACGGGAGAAAATATTCGCAAACTATCCACCTGACAAGGGATTAATAACCAGAATATATTAGGAACCCAAACAACTCTATAGGAAAAAAATCTAATAATTCAATTAAAAATGGGCAAAAGATTTGAATAAACATTTCCTAAAAGAAGACATACAAATGGCAAACAGGCATATGGAAAAGTGCTCAACATCACTGATCATCAAAGAAATGCAAATCAAAACTACAATCAGATATCATCTTACCCTGATTAAAATGGCTTACATCCAAAAGACAGGCAATAACAAATGTTGGTGAGGATGCAGAGAAAAGGGAACTCTGGTACACTGTTGGTGGGATATAAATTAATACAACCACTATGGAGAACAGTTTGGAGATTACTCAAAAAAGTAAAAATAGAGGTACCATATGATCCAGCAATCCCACTGCTGGGTATATACCTAAAAGAAAGGAAATCCAACCCAAATGTCCATCAATGATAGACTGGATAAAGAAAATGTGGCACATATACACCATGGAATACTATGCAGCCATAAAAAAGATGAGTTCATGTCCTTTGCAGGGACATGCTGGAAACCATCATTCTCAGCAAACTATCGCAAGGACAGAAAACCAAACACCACGTGTTCTCACTCATGAGTGGGAGTTGAACAATGAGAACACATGGACACGGGGAGGGGAACATCACACACCGGGGCCTGTTGGGGGGTGGGGGGCTGAGGGAGGAATAGCATTAGGAGAAATACCTAATATAAATGACGAGTTGATGGGTGCAGCAAACCAACATGGCACATGTATACCTATGTAACAAACCAGCATGTTGTGCACATGTACCCTAGAACTTAAAGTATAATAATAAAAAAAAAGAGAAAAGTGGGAGGGTAGGAGGGGTGTGGGGGATTAAATACTACCTATTGGGTACAATCTACATTATTTGGGTGATGGCTATACTAAAAGCCCAGACTTCACCACTACCCAATATGTCCATGTAACACCACTGCACTTGTACCTCAAATCTATAAAAATCTTACAAAATTTGAAAATTTTTAAAAATAAAAATGTGTATATTTGTCCAAAAAAAAAAGAAAGAAAGGAAATCTGTATACTGAAGAGATATCTGCACTCCCATGTCTATTGGAGCACTGTTCACAACAGCCAAAATTTGGAAGCAATCTAAGTGTCCATCAAGAGATGAATGGATAAAGAAAATATGGTACATATACACAATGGAGTAGTATTCAGCCATAAAAAAGACTGAAATCCTGTCATTTGCAACAACATGGTCATTAGGTTGAGTGAAATAAGGCACAGAAAGACAAACATCACATGTTCTCATGTATTTGTGGAATCTAAAAATTAAAACAATTGAATTCATGGAGATAGGGAGTAGGAGGAGGGTTACCAGAGGCTGGGAAGGGTAGTAGGAGGGTTGGAGTACCTTGGGGATAGTTAATGGGTACCAAAAAAAAATAATAATTAGAAAGAATGAATAAGACCTAGTGTTTGATAGCACAACAGCGTGTCTATAGTTAATAATAATTTGATTGTACATTTTAAATTGGATTGTTTGTAACACAAAGGATAAATGTTTGAGGGGATGGATACCCCTTTTTACATGATGTGATTATTACTGTTTGCATGCCTGTATCAAAACATCTCATGTACCCCAAAAATATATACACCTACTATATACCCACAAAAATTATAAATTAAATCCCTGGCACAGACTAAATATTCAACAAATGGTCACCATTATGGCCTTAGAGTCAATGGATGCCCTTTGGCCTATTTACCATCTCATTATTTCGTATGTGCAGTTTTCATCCTTGTTTTGTCTTTTGATTCAGCCAGCTACCTCAGTGTAGGTAGCTGGCTTCCTACACATTTCCTACACTTCTTAGGACCTTGAGTCCGTAGAGAAAACCTCTAGAGATGTGCTATCCGGTATGGTAGTTGCTAGCCTCATGTGGCTATTTAATTATAAATTTAAATTAATGAAAATAAAATAAAATTAGAAACTGAGCTCCTCAATTGCACTAGCCACGTTTAAAGCTCTCAGTAATCTCATGTGGCCAGTAGCCACTGTATTGGATAGCACAGATAGAGAGAGCATTTTCCCCATCATGGAAAGTTCTATTAGACAGCACTGGGCTAAAAAGGATTATATAGAACTATGAGCCATTTTCCAGTATTTCCAAAGGCCTAATGAAAACTCTATATTTACTCTCAACGAGACTGCCCAGGTTAGCTAAAACACCCAGGGGACTACTTTCGGCTGGAACTATAACAGGCTGTGCTGTCATATCTTCCATGGCCAATGATCAAATAGGTGGGCTGGGAACAAGCCAGGGCCCTAGGCCCTGCATCTGGACCTGGAGAGCTGGCTGTGCAGCAGGCACAGCAGCTAGCGGGCAGTGGGCAGGACCTCTGGCTGCAATCCCGGCCCCTAGTATCTTTGTGGTAGAAAGTGTGGAGGAGTCAGGAGCTATAAAGCCCAAGTATGGCAAAGCCAAAGAGGTAGGAAGGAGATATGGTGACTGGGGACCAACCAGGTGTCAAGGACATGGGAGGGAAGGCAGCACTGGACCCAAGCAGAAGCTGGAACTTGTGAGTGTGAAGACGACTGTGGAAGAGCAGCTCAGCTTCCTGACCCTGTGTATACTGCACAGTCTCCTAAAGGTAGCGGGCAATAGATCTAGATATTACTTGTCAACAAAAATGCTCCTCTAAGAAGTTGTGTTTTTGACTCATAAAAGCGGAAGAACAAGTTAAATATTACTTTATACATGCAGTTTACTTGTTGGATGTGACCAGTCCATGAGATCTAGTCTCCTTTTTTTCTTGCTAAGAGAATCCCAGCTTTGTCTAGCCTGTAGTCACATGCCTAGTTAAAAATACTTCCCAAACTCCTCTGCAACTAGGAGTGGCCATGGGACCCAGTTCTAGACAATAAGATTTAAGAGTAGAGCTTCTGAGAGAGCTATAATTTTCCTCATATAAAAAGACCAACTTAACTGGATCACTCCTTTTTTTTTCTTGGCTTTTTTCCCAATGTTTTCTGCCTGAAATTCACATGTGAAGTTTGACTGTGCAGCAGACATCTTGAGGTTGAAAGCCACATCCTAACAAAGTCAGGGTGGTGGATGGAACATGGGTTTTTTTGTTTTGTTTTGTTTTGTTTTCTTTTCTTTTGAGATGGAGTTTCGCTCTTGTTGCCCAGGCTGAAGTGCAGTGGTGCGATCTCGGCTCACTGCAACTTCCACCTCCCGGATTTGAGCGATTCCCCTGCCTCAGTCTCCCAAGTAGCTGGGATTACAGGCGCCTGCCATCACGCCCAGCTAATCTTTTGTATTTTTAGTAGAGATGGGGTTTTACCATGTTGGCCAGGCTGGTCTTGAACTCCTGACCTCAGGTGATCCACCCGCCTCGGCCTCCTGAAGTACTGGGATTACAGGCATGAGCCACCGCACCCGGCCCAGAATATGGGTTCTTAAAGACTTTGTACGTACTCTAAACCACCAACTCTGGACTCCTTATTGCATGAAAAAGGCAAACCCCCGTTTGTTGAGGCCACAGAAATAATGGTTCTTTACATGCTATCATAAACAATGGGCAAAATATACCAAAATGTGTACTTTGTGGAGGAAACACTAGTAAAAGGAGCCTTTGACAAGGAACAGATACTGTTTTCCCCTGCTTTGTGAGGTCAGAGAACAGATTCTGAAATCAGGCTGCAGGGTTTGAATACTGGTTCTTCAGGAGCCACTGTCCTATACCAAGTTTTGGTGCAAATCAAATAAGGCAACTCCTCTAGACAGATAAAAGTCCAGTGGGCCCACAGCTTGGTGAAAAGGTCATATCTTTTAATGAATTTGATAAAGGATTTGTTCCTCCCAACAAACTCAGCCTCATACTAGCATCCATGACTTGTTAACCAGATTGGTGGCCGGATTTCAGACTCCTGGGCCAGGCATCATTGAGCTGTGAAAAACATGCACAGACATACACGGTGGCCATGGGGTCCACCACCTCCCACTTGTGAAGCCTGGGCCAAATGAATGGATTTCCCTTTGCCTCAATTTCCTTATCTAGAAGATGAAGCTAATAATAACATGCTATCTTTACATGCTATCATATACAGTGGGCAAAATATATCAAAATATGCACCTTGTGGAGGGAACGCTTGTGAAAAGAGACTTTGGGCTCAGCACAATGGCTTAAGCCTGTAATCCTAGCACTTTGGGAGGCCGAGGAGGGGGCATCACAAGGTCAGGAGTTCAAGACCAGCCTGGCCAACTTGGTGAAACCCTGTCTCTATTAAAAATACAAAAATTAGCGGGGTGTGGTGTTACATGCCTGTAATCCCAGCTACTCAGGAGGCTGAGGCAGAATTGCTTGAATGGAGGCGGAGGTTACAGTGAGCTGAGATCACGCGCCACTGTACTCCAGCCTGGGTGACACAGTGAGACTCCATCTCAAAAAAAAAAAAAAATTAAAAATTAAAAAAAAAAGAGAGAGAGAGAGACTTTGACAGGGAAGCTTACTGGATCATAGATTAGGGAACTGGTTTGGAGACTCCTTTGAAGCAATGAGTTTAAGCCTAAACTCGCCGGCTTCCTCCCTTTAAGAGTTATTTTGCATATTAAATGAGATACCCAGTATCTATGTCTGCACAACAGGAAACATACTACCTGCTGTTGTTAACAATGCAATGGCCATTATCATCATTATCACCATCATCATCGCCATCATCATTTTCCTTCCCTCATAATGTATTTACAAACCCCTAAAGTGTTGGCCAGCAAATAAGGACTCAATTATTCTTAAATTTAGAATCCGGTTGAATGATGGCCCACAGCTCTGCCTCCATCCGTGTTCATGAGCTCCTCATCTATCTCAACTAAATCCCAAAGCATTGCCTTGATTCCAAGCATCAGTTTGTCATATCTGCAGCAGCATCAGCCCAGAAATGTTTTAATTGCCAAAAGTTCTGTTTAGCCAGCTGAAGAATGAGGACTTGTAGAATAGCTGTCTCCGTTTACTGTCACGTCAGCACAAATAGAAAATTTTCTCAAAGTGAGATGGAAGAGTAGAGGGTGGTCTGGAATGTCCTAAAGGAGGAATGAAGGTCTGTGTTGAGTCTGGGAGCTCAGGTCAGGGTTTTGTTGATGAGCAATCAATAAGGCAGGACCAGCGGGTAGAGACTGTTGCTCTGTGTTTAGAGCTGGGACAACAGCTTGTGGAATGTGGATCCCAGGAAGTGGTGGATCCAAGGGCAAATAGCTGTGTGATTCCTCCGTTTCTCCCTTCACAGCCATAACCATAGGTGTGAAAACAGGTGGAGAGCATCACTGACAAGATGCTCCCTTAGGAAGAGAACCAGCAGCACTGGGGTGGAAGAAAAGCCTGGGAGATCCACGTAACAGAGGAGCCCTGTTCCCCTCCACCAACTGCCCCTAGCCCAGGTGTGGCGCTGGTGCCAGGTCTTCAGAGGAAGGGAGTTGTCCCTAGGAAAGGGACCAGGGACAGAGTGAAGAATGAGGCTGGAAGAGAAGCAAGGAGCCAGGAGGATGGTGATAGACTGAGATGAACTCAGCAGTGAAATTACACGTGGCAAAATGGAAAATCTACATTAGAGAGTGGTGATTCCTGCAGTGCCTGTCAATGATGCCTCAATGTCTCCCCTCAAACCTCCAACCAAATTTCCATTGCTCACTGATGCCTGGTGTAAGTGGATTCACCTGAGGGGAACATAAAGAGAAGATGAGATTCACAGCTAGGTCCTCACTTTGCTCAACAGAGGCATCACAGGATGCCTGAGCAGTCTGGAGACAGTGAGCCCTCAGGACTCTGCAGAAACCCAGGGGAGGGGCTCTGGACTTCCTCAGGGATTGGCAGGGGTTTGAGTCTCATTTACATCTTTGAAGGGCAAAAGTTCCCAGTGGAGATCTGGGTTACACATCCAGGACCAGTTGGTCAGAAGATTGCACGTTTCATCTTCTGCAAAGCCTGTTTGGAAGGAGGGTGGGTGCCTCCAAAATGGAGACTCCAAAGATATCCATGCAGATCCCAGCTCTGCACTTACAGGCTGCTTGGCCTTGAGAAAGCTCCCTGACCTCTTGGAGTGTCATTATCATCTAGCACGGTGCCTGGTTCCTAATTGGCCTCAACCACTCTTCAATGACTGTGCAAATGAGCCTGGTGCTGAAGACAGTCTTTATGCAGAGACAGTTCCACAGACCCAGCCTGAGGGAAAGCTGTGTGGGGAGGAGGGAAGCCTGAGTGCTGTGTCTCCGGGGAGCAAAGAGGAGCAGGGGCCCCACCAACCCTCTGCCCCAGGTCTTCTAGGGTGGTCTGCATTTTGCCCCAAATACGTAGCTACATGTTATGCCATGTAAAGGTGTGGAGTAGAAGCAGGGATAATCTTGAAAACAATTAACAACTGGTACAGTCAGAATGGATGCCATCTGTCACTGGTGTGCACCAGCCACGTGTATAAGGTATTCGTGGGTGCAGAAAATAATATCCCTATAGGCAGCACATTGTGATCACCAGAATATCAACTCACGGCCTTTGAAGGAACATGTATGCTGGTCCCTGCTTTACAGCCTCACTTAAAACCACGCAATGTTGGAAATAGCCCTTCTCTCCATGAGCTTCAAATTCCTCACCTATAAAGTGAGTAGAGAATGGCCTGCAGAGCCAAAGTGAGGGTGAGGGAAGGAAGGCAGCGTGGAGTCAAGCAAGGGAGCAATTTCAGGAGTCCCAGCCTCAGCCCCAAGCCTTGGGGAGCTTTGGGGCACAAACAACCCCTCAGACTCTGATGGAGTTTGTCTGGAGACAGAGGAGCTGGGTGTTTTGCACCCACACTGGTCAACTAGTGACTACAGGCTGTTCCCATTGTGGCATGGACTCCCAGGCATAGTAGCTCTGCCTATGCTCAGAGACTCCGATTCCCAAGAACAGTCCTCTGACTGTGGCGGTGTAGGTGAGAGCCATCGCAGCAAAACAGTATCTGGGCTGGGTGCACAGAGTGGGTTACAGGGATGGGAGGGGAGGACCACACTAGCTGGAACTCTTATGAGAATCAAATTAAATCAATGCATGTCGGAGTTTTTTCATCTTCCCATCCCTGGGTGCAATAATGCTGATAACCACTTACATGTCTCTTACCATAAGCCAGGCACTGTTCTAAGTGCTCCACATGGATTCACTCATTTTATTCTTACCTCCAGATGTGAAAACTGGGGCACAAAAAGGAAAGTAACTTGCTCAAGGTCACACAGCCAGTAGGTGGCAAAATGGGTACTTGTGCCTGGAAAATCTAGGTCCACAGCCCCTGCTCTTAAACACCGTGATGTGCTGCATTCGGGTGTGGCCAGGGCCATGCTCCCTCATGTGCTGTCCAGTATGGCAGTTGCCTGGCACGTGTGGCTACCCACGTGTCAATTCAAAGTTAAGATTTTTAAGTTAATGAAATTAAAAAGGCAGTCTTTCATTTGAACTAGGCACCTCTAAAGTGCCTCATGTAGAAAGTGGCTACCATGTCATATTGGACAGTGTACACAAAGAATATTTCCAATAGAATGTTCTACTGGAGATTAAATATACATATAGTGTATTTTTTTTTTTTTGAGATGGAGTCTCACTCTGTCGCCCAGCCTGGAGTGCAATGGTGCAATCTTGGCTCACTGCAACCTCCACCTCCCAGGTTCAAGCGATGCTTCTGCCTCAGCCTCCCGAGTAGTTGGGATTACAGGCACACACCACGATGCCCCGCCAATTTTTTGTATTTTTAGTAGAGATGGGGTTTCACCATATTGGTCTGGCTGGTCTCGAACTCCTGACCTCAGGTGATCCACCCGCCTCGGCCTCCCAAAGTGCTGGGATTACAGGAGTGAGCCACCGCGCCCAGCCAAGGTATTTACTGAAATAATAGCTAAATACACATTAGCTATTATTACTCCTGCTACTTCTACTTATTATATTTGCTGCTTTTATTATTGTTGTCACTAATATAAAGCTGGAAGGAACCACCATAGAGCTCATATCACATCGCAGATGGGGAAATCAAGGCACAGAGAAGGAACTCTGCATAAAGGTGACAAAGCCAGAACTCTCACTCTCTCGATTCCCTGGATGGCCGTCTTTCCACCAGTGTGCTATAAAACAATTCCACAGCCATTTTAGCACTTCAACTTCAAGCTTTGTCTATGGGGTTTAAATATTCCATCTCTGACCAACCGTGAAACCATGGAAACTGAATGGCAAATTGAAAAGGCAGCAAACAAATTAGCTTGCAAAACCCCACAAATGATATAATCGCTCCAGTATTTAAGCTGCAGATATTCTCTGCATTTCAGCCAAGGCCTTTCTCAATTGCTTTTGTAAACCTGCACTTGTGTGTTCCACGTTCAGCATCAGCCCACACAATACTGTGGCCAGACTCTACATGCATCCTCAGCTCCACAGATTCAGAGCCAAACTCAAAGGGGTGAAACTTACCCTTGACCCAGACCTTTACCCTCCCATCCTGGGCAGGAAGGCCAAAGCACAAGAACAGGTCTCCAGTTCTGTTGTTTTATTCCTCCTGGGAGGCTCCAAAGATAAGTAAATAGGAGTGCTATTCTGTGGGTGGGAAGAGAGTAAAATTGTTTAAAGTGGAACAAGGGGGAAATTACAATAAAAACTAGCCAGAAGCAGAGAGGCATCTGTGGTAGACTGCATTAATGGTTCAATTTTTCACCCCTTCTGGTATCCACACCTTTTGCCAATTAAATGGGGTGCCGTACTTCCCACTATGCTAGAGCATAATTCCTTATCTCTGTGGGATTTTCTTTGGACAGTGGAGTGCTAGTAAATGTAACACAGAGTCCTGAAAGGCTCTTGTGTAATTGAGCTTGCTCCTTCTTGTGCCATGAGACGAACATGCCCGTTCATCCCAGAGACGATGGAAGAGAGGCAACGGGGTCAGAGCTGCCTCAGCTTAGCTAGCCCAGATAAGCTCAGATGAAAGCAGGGCACCCATTCCTCCCACCCATGCTGACCCAAAAAAGCATGAGTGAGTCCAGCCGAGGTCAGTAGGGAGCTCACCTTAGCCCAGCCAGTCCACGACCAATGCACAAGAGGCATGATCTGTAGTAAATGACTTGTTTTAAGCCACTTAATATGGGGGTTATTTGTGACTCAGCAATAGCTAGCTGATACAGCATCCTTGATTCCTCTCTCCCTCACTTCCAACATCCAATCCATCAGCAAGCTCCAAATAAATCTACCCACTTCTTTCCAATTGCCTGGCCACACCCTTAGTCCATTCCAGCATCATTTCTCATGTAAACCACTGATTCTCTCTCACCTACACTCTTGCCTGCCTCCAATCCATTCTCTACACAGAAATTGGGATTCTTTCTTCAAAGCAAAATTGAATTAGGTCTCCCTAGACCTAGAGTAGAGACAAATCTTCATAAAATCTCAGCTCCTAATGATGCCCACCAGGCCCCTACAGGATCCATCCCCTGATGACCTCTTCCAGCTCTGTTCATCCCACTCTCCTTGAAGTCTGACCAACCTTCTTTTAGTTCTTGAAACATTCCAAACTCTTTCCCACATTGAGGTCTTTCACATTCGGTTCCCTCTGCCTGAAATGCTTTCCTCCCTATTTTTAGCATAGCTAACTCTTTCTCTCCCTTGAGCCTCATCATAAACATACTTCCCTGGCTGTATTCCTAAAGGATGGTTCCCTCTGTTTTCTCCATCTCAAACTAGCTATCTCTTTCTTTGAATCATTGAAATTGGCTACTATTTTATTCCTTTGTCTGCTTTCTTTATTCATTCACTCAAAAGTTATTTATGAAGCTCCTATTATGTGCCAGGCATTGTTCTAGGTGCTGGGGAGGCCACAGTGAACAAGACAGACCAACTCCTTCCCCTCATGGAGACACTGAACAAGTAATAAATAAATTGTGGCTCACACACCTTGCTCTCTGTGGGGTGTCTGGTCATGTAATCGGGGCAACAGAGTAAACAGGGGAGACTCCATTGGCCTTGACTGCTCTGCTTAGAATTGGTTGCAAGTGAAATAGTGAGAGAAATAAAAAGTATACACAGACCCAGAAGCTCTAGGTCAATCTCTTCTACCCAGCGCTCAGTTTCATCCCTTTGTGATCTCATCCTTATTCTGTTGAACAGCCCCTCTTGGTTCCTCCCTCAATCTTGAGTTGTCCTGTCTTCAATGTTGTTTACTTCATTTGCACAGGATGTCTCTCATTATTATTTGTATGGGTCCCAGTACCTAACCAACTTAGTGTGGGAGATCAGACCCCCATCCCCATTGTACCCTCTGCTTCATTCAATCAAAGCCCAGCTGTGTTCTTGACTCACCTTACTCTTCTGCTCATCAGAAAATAGACCTCTGCTGGGCTGAAATCTGCTTATTTTTTGTCTGTTTCTCCATGGGGCAATAATGATTTATAGCAGTTCCCATGAATTTGCAGACTTCCCACTTTATATTTCTTCTAGCTCTAGCGAAACTTGATAACGTTTCCTTCTCTAATGCAATAAATTTACCTTCTGGTAAATACTACTCCACTCAAGAGAGATAATGTAATTTTAAGTAGTGATAAATGAGATGAAGAAAATAGAGCAGTCCTGTGTTTAATAGAAGTGGCAAAAGTGGGCATCCTTGTCTTGCTCCAGATCTTAGAGTAAAAGCTTTCAACTTATCTCTGTTCAGTACATCAGCCTTGGGTTTGCCATATATGGTTTTTACTGTGTTGAAGCACATTTTTTCTATTCCTAATTTGCTGAGAGTTTCTATCATGAAGGGATGTTGAATTTTGTCAGATGCTTTTACTGCAGCTATTGAAATGTGAGATAAATTATATTGAAATGATCATGTATGGTTTTTGTCTATTTGTTCTCTTCATCATGGTACTAGAAGTCCTAGCCAGAGAAACAGACAAGAGAAAAAAAAAAGCATTCAAATTGAAAAGGAAGAAGCTAAATTGCCTCTGTTTGTAGGCAACATAATCTTGTATATAGAAAACCCTACAGACTCCACTAAAAAATTGTTGGAACTCATAAACAAATTCAGTAAAGTTGCAGGACACAGTGTCAACATACAAAAATCAATAACATTTCTATACACTAACAGAACACTATCTGAAAAAAATCAAGACAACAATCCCATTTATAATAGCTACCAAAAAAAACTTATAAATAAATTTAACCAAGGAAGTGAAAGATCTCTACACTGAAAACTATAAAACATTGAAGAAAAAATTAAAGAAGACACAAATAGATGAAAAGGCATGCCATGTTCATGGATTGGAAGAATTAGTATTATTAAAATGTCCACACTACCCAAAGCAATTTATAGATGCAATGTAATTCCTATCAAATTATCAATGACATTCTTCCCCGAAATATTTTTTAAAAATCTAAAATTAATATAAAACCAAAAAAAGACCCTGACTAGCCAAAGCAATCTTGAGCAAGGAGACCAAAGCTGTAGGCATCACACTACCTGATTTGAAAATATATTAGAAAGCTGCAATAAGCAAAACAGCATGGCACTGGAATACAAAAAGACATACAGACCAGTGGAATAGAATAGAGTGTCCAGAAATAAATCCATGCATATATGGTCAACTTATTTTCTGTAAAGATGCCAAGAACACATGATGAAGAAAGGACAGTCTCTTCAATAAATACTGCGGGAAAAACTGGATATCTACACGTGGAAGAATGAAATCAGACCCTTATCTATCACCATATACAAAAATTCACTCAAATGAATGGCTATTATCAAAAAGACAAAAAATAATAAATGCTGGTAAGGATGTGAAAAAATGGGAACCTTTAAACACTCTCACTGGAAATGTAAATTAGTTCAACCATTATGGAAAAGAGTATAGAGGTTTCTCAGAAAATTAAAAATAGAACTACCATATGATCCAGAATTCTCATTCCTAGGTATATATCCAAAGGAAATGAAATCAGTATGTCAAAGAGATATCTGCACTCCTATATTTATTGTAGCAGTATTCACAACAGCCAAGATATGGAGTCAACCTATCGTCCATCAACAGATGTACAGATAACAAAAATGTGGTATATATACACAATGGAATACTCTTTAGCCATAAAAAGGAATGAAATCCTGTCATTTGTGGCAAATAAACCTGGAGGACATTATGTTATGCAAAAGAAGCCAGGCACGGACAGACAAACAGCGTATGCTCTCACTAATATGTAGGAGCTAAAAAAGTCAAAACTCATAGAAATAGAGAGTAGAATGGTGGTTGCCAGATGCTGGTGGGGAGGAGTAAAAGGGGAAAGGGGAGAAGTTGGTCAACAGGTGCAAAGTTACAGTTAAGAGAAATAAGTTCTGGTGTTCTATTGCACAGTAGAGGGACTACAGTTAATAATATTGCATTGCATTGCATATTTTACTTTTTTATTATTTATTTATTTATTTATTTATTTATTTATTTTCTTTGAGGCGGAGTCTCGCTCTGCCACCCAGGCTAGAGTGCAGTGGTGCAATCTCGGCTCTCAGCTCACGGCAACCTCCAGCTCCCAGTTTCAAGCGATTCTCTTGCCTCAGCCTCTTAAGTAGCTGGGATTACAGGCATGCATCATCACGCCTGGATAATTTTTGTATTTTTAGTAGAGACGAGGTTTCACCATGTTTGCCAGGCTGGTCTCGAACTCCTGGCCTCAAGTGATCTGCCTGCCTAGGCCTCCCAAAGTGCTGGGATTACAGGAGTGAGCCATCACGCCTGGCCTGCATTGCATATTTTAAAATAGCTAGAAAAGAGGATTTTGAATGTTCTCATTGCAAAGAAAGATAAATGTTTGAGAGGGCAAATATGCTAATTAATCCAATTCGATCATTACAAAATGTATACATCTATCAGAACATTTCTGTACCGCATAAATATGTACAATTATTATTTGTCAATTAAAAACAAAATAAAATTTAAAAAATAGGGGAGAAAATATGGCTTAGGTAGCTGCCCCAGTCTGTGTTCAATCAACATTTGTTGAATTAGTAAATTAACAAGTGAAAGAAACAATTAAGGGTCTTGCAGCTTTTCTTCTTCTCCCCAATCAAGCTTCTTCTCATCTCTCGATTTTCTGTCTTCTCCTGAGAGTTAGACTGAATTAACTAGGTGTTTCTTCCTCCAGATGTGATCCAGGTTAAGATCCAATAGATTCATTAATGTACAGACTAATCTGTTATAACAAAGAAGCCCCAAAATTCAACTGATTAAATAAGAAAAGAGTTTATTTCTTTCTTATCTAACAAAGATAAGAGGTCCAAGCTGACAGAGCAGCTCTGCTCCATGAAGTCATTCAGGGGCCCAGGTTCCTTCTATCTTCCTGCTACATCAACCCCGGGTATTTTGTCTTTACCTCCGTGATCAAAACTGGGTCACTACCATGCCCATACTTTGGCCTACGTAAAGTAGGAGGCAAGCTGTTTCTTAAAGAAATAACAGCAAGTTACACATTCCATTGGTGAGACTTTAATCAAACTCAGAGAATCTCAGAAACGTTGTCTATAGCTGGGTGGCCATGTACTTAGATAAAACTTGGGGATGTGCTATTTCTTTCTTTCTTTTTTTTTTTTCTTTGAGATGGAGTCTCGCTCTGTCACCCAGGCTGGAGTGCAGTGGCGTGATCTCAGCTCACTGCAACCTCCACCTCCCGGGTTCAAGTGATTCTTCTGACTCAGCCTGCCAAGTAGCTGAGACTTCAGGTGTGCACCACCACACCCGGCTAATTTTTGTATTTTTAGTGGAGATGAGGTTTCACCATATTGGCCAGGCTGGTCTCGAACTCCTGATCTCGTGATCTGCCTTGCCTCTGCCTCCCAAAGTGCTGGGATTACAGGCGTGAGCCACCGCGCCTGGCTGGGGATGTGCTATTTCTAACAGAAAGAAGGAGAGAATGGATATTGGGAAACAGCTAACAACCTTAGCCACACTCAAACCTTTTATGATAACCAAACCCTGGCAAGGCACCATTCATTGACCCTGCGGCTTCCCCTCTCTGAAATGTTCCTTTTCTTCTTCCTCACCTATCAAACTCCTACTCGTCCTGTAGAGTCCAGCTCAAATGAACCCAGCATCACTCAGCTATTCAGAGCCATTTGTGCCGAGGGCTGTGGAAGGAGTGCTAAGCCCCTGCATTCTGAAGACTTCACCATGAGATTCTGTAGGTAAAGCATTAGCACATTGCCTGACTCAGTAAGTGACTGAATGGATAGTGTGTTCTCAATAAATGAGCAATGTCATCATTGCTATTGTTCTTTTCTCAAGGTTTTCCTGGGAAGAGGCTATACGATACAGTAGGAGCACCAGCTTGAGAACCAGTAGACTGGTGCTTGAATCCTGTTTCAGTCACTTTTTCACTATGTGACCACGATCTGTGCTTAACCTGTCTAGGACTCTGTTTCCTCATCTGTTAAATGGGAATAATAGCAGTGCTACCTTACAGAGATATTTATTAAATTATATGATCCATGTAAAGCATTTAATACAATGCCTCCAAAGAGAGTTTCAATGAATGGTAGTTTTTCTGATTTAGCTATCATCATTCTCATAATCAGGGAAATATAACCATGTGTATTGATCAGGTGTGCATTTAGCTGTAGAATAACAGAACCCCATAACAATGACACTGAAAGATGGGAGTTCATTTGGCTTCCAAAGCAATGAGCCCAAAGGCAGATGGGGCTACAGTGGAGACTCAGGAGCTCAAGGACCTGAGTTCCTTCTCTCTTTTCTCTTTACCATCACTAGTGTGTTGGCTTTTCTCCTTGCATATGTCACTCCTAGCCCCCAGATGATGGCTGTGCCTCTAATATGAGCATATTCCAAACCGGAAGTAGGAAAAATGATAAAAGGAGGCTTGCCAGTCAAGTCTCTTCCTAGTTACCAGGGAAAGTAATGCTTCCCTGGGTGCCCCATCCCATAAACCTCCTCTGAGCTCTGAGTGGTCAGAACTGTGCCATATGTCTGCCCCTAAGTATCAGGTACCTGGAAGAGGACGTTGTGAATGGGAGTGGGATCAGCCACCAACAGTGACTGTTACGGGTTAAATTATGTCCCCCACAAAGCTATGTTCCAGTTCTAACCCCTGATGCATGTGAATGTGACTTTATTTGGAAATAGGGTCTTTATAGATGTAATTAGTTCCCGGAGTAGAGTAGGCCCTTAAGGCACTATGACTAGTGTTCATATAAGAAAAGAGGGGCACAGGGAGAAGACAGCCATATGATAATGAAGGTGAAGATTGGAGTGATGCTGCCACAAGCCAAGGAATGCCAAGAGTCATCAGAAGCTGAAGAAAGCAAAGAGGGGTCCCCCCCGGAGATTTTGGGGAGAGCATGGCCCTGCCAACATCTTGATTTTGGACTTCTAGCCTCCAGAACTGTGAGAGAATAAACTATTGTTGTAAGCCATCCAATTTGCAATATTGGGGTACAGCAGCCCTCGGGAATAAATACAGTGACACTGTCGCAACCAGGTGAATAAATGGATGCGTCATCCTGTGACCAGTGCTAAAATTGAGGGTTGTATTAAGCAGACTCATTCATTCATTCATGCAACCACAGTCTGACCCGGGTGATTTGCTTCAAGCTAATGTTACAGCCCCAAGTGCAGCCCCTTATCTTCCCAACAACCCCTGTTCTTGGGTCTCTAGAGCTCCTTGCTCAAGAACAGGTTTACTTGTCCACACATCAAGTGCTTGCCTGCGCACAGCTGAAGCCAACAGTGCAAGAGCGGACTTAGCCCCAGCTGGCCTCTATGCCTACACCTGGCTGTGCCGCTGGGAAGGTGTCTGGCGACAAGTAAATGTAACCTACAGCCTAAAGGACCCAAGACCCCAGAGCTGCAGGAAGCCTCCATGAGGAGCTACTGATGCAATTAACTTGGGAAACACTTGCTAAGAGTTGGAGTAGGAAGAAGCAACCCATGGGGCAAATTGGGACAAAAGACACATTTTTATGCAATCAGGTAGACTTGAACTGTGAGTTATTACTGCTTATCAGAATGTCTCTCCTGCTCTGCAAACCATCTTTAAAGATAAACAGTGCTTCTCCCCAGGGTGGATTCTTTCTCTTATATTTATTAAACTCTATTGAGCAAGCATAATGCATCATGCTTCATGCATCAGTATACTTCAGCCTCATCACAACAGGAAAATGGGGGAAAGTGCTATTTTAATCCTTATTTTATAGACAGAAAAACTGAGGAAATTGACCAAGGCTGCATAGCCAGCAAACAGCAAAACCTCGACTCAAACCCAGATCCATTGTTTCTGATTTGTGTGCCCTTGACCACTTAAAGCAATTCTGCCAGCCCAGAAATTGTGCTTAATTAGCTCAGAAGACAGTTTCTTTACTGAACACTTGCTGAATTCAAATGAAGTTATTATACCATATTTCACAGGAAAAAAATACATATTAGTCTTCTTACACTTAAGTTTGTTTCCCATAATTTTTCTTTAAAATATCATACATCTGCTTGTCTATGTGGGCAAAAGACAAGCAAATGAACAAATAGAAACATGCTTTTTATAGAAAATTGAGATGTTTTTAAAATTCTTTATGTATGTTTTTTAGGCTTGAAGACCAACTTTCACGTAATATAGTCAGATCTGAATCTGACCACATCATCGGCAATATTGTTTCTAGTTTGCTTTGTAGAAGAAAATGCATCCATATGTCACAGTATTCCATATAGGAGTAAATGTTTCAGAGTACTCTAACCCTTGAATAAATTAAATAGTTCAGAGAATTCTGGATTTAAATCACAACTCACCCATGTCAAATGAAAAACCAACCTTGACTTAGGATAGGAGAGACTATTACAGTGGGGAGAACACTGTGACTTTGGGGTCTTTGAAGCATCTCAAAATCAAACCAAATAGGGCTTTCTTTTCTAGGGAGGGGGAAGCAGAACTGGCAGGGACTTTGGGGGAGGCTGGCAGGTGGTGAGGGGAGCATATAACATGAAGGGGGAATTTAACTGGATTTCTCTTTCTGGTCAGCCTCCTAGAACAAGCTGTTCTACACCTGGATGCTTGCTTAAACTTAAGGATGAGCAAAGTTTAGGAGCCTGTAGGAAGGAGAAGCCTGACTAAAGTTTGGCTGAGCCAAGTTCATCGGTACTAGCATCATTTGCCCACCCGCTTCTGAGTTGCACGACCTTGGGTTACTTACTTTTCCACTCCAAGATTCAATTTTCCTTTTTTTCCAAAATGTGGACAATAACTGGTCCCTGCCTCACAGCATGGTAAGGAATAGATGAAACCCTTTGCAAAGAACCATCGACCTCTATTTCCTCAGGCCTAGAAGAGCACCCAAGGACATAGCAAGTCCCTGTCTACTGTAGCTGCCATCCTTGTATACCTGCATAAAATGGGGCTGGGTGAGGCTGCTTGTGCTTATGTTTGGAAAGTTCTCTGAGTCTGCAGCATGAAAGCAAGGCTGTCCCCACTCTCTCTGAGCTTGAGACCCCCGCTCACTCCCCTGCAATGACAACCTCTCAAATGCAAGCTTGGTAAATTTGTTCTCAGCCACAAAGGAAATGGATTACAAAGCTTAATTAAAGAGGACATTTTCCATTCTGTTATTTTTTTAATGCATCTGGTTAGGGAAAATAAATACTTTTTATCAGCCAGGAAATTCTTCAGATGCACTTTAGCCTGGGATGCCAGAACCAAGCAAAATGTTCAGAATCTTCAGTTCTTAGGAATGACATCTAGAAGGTAGGAACTGAGGAAAAGGAACTAGGCAGCTTGAAGAATGGGGAGTGTAGTTATTCTATCTCTGCTCCTTGTCCAGCAGAGGGTGTCACAGATGATGGCAAAGAGTCATTTATTCAACTGACCTGTGAGCACCCATTAACTCATGCACTTTTCCTACACCATCTTGTAGAATCTAACTCCAAGACCCCATCCCGAGCTCCGGGACCCCCATGACCCAGCCCTGCTCTTCTGACCTCATTTTCTCCCCCTCCCCTGTCATTCTTCTCCAGTCACATTGGCCTCCTGGTTCCTCCACTAGAGAAGGAGGCCCCTCCCTCAGGTCACTGCACTAGCTCTTCCCTCTTTCCTCGGCCTGAAATCAGCTCCCTTTCTTACACAACTTGAGTCCCTGCTGAAATACCAGAAAGAACTCCCCATCCCCAACCCCTGCTGTGTAAACAGCCCTCCCACTGCCCCTGTACCATGCCCCCCCGCCCCCCGCCACCATGATTCCTTTATACTCATGGGACTTAATACCACTTAAAATGATATTTTTACATTTGTTTTCCATGTTCATGTTAAGCCCCCCTACAATGTAAACTCCATGATATCAGGGACTTGGTTTTATGGCTACCAAATTTCCATTCTCTAGAACCGCTCCTGGCATAAACATAATAGGTGATTGATAAATATTTCCCTATTATCTCACTTCATCCAGCCTGGAAGGTAGGTATTGTGGTCCCCATTTGACAGATGGGGAAATAGACCTTCAGAAAAACTAAGTCACTGGTCCAGGGTTGTACAGCTAGGAAAAGGGAGCCCTGGCTTTGAATCCGCATCCCAAGCTTCCTGTACCACCCACTGCCTCCTGAGAAATAATGCCTTTAAAAGTGACTCTCAGGGTTACCCACAGGCTCCAGAGGACCAAGAACTCCGTCTCAATCCTAAAATGCAGATAGGCTATGAACTCCAGCTCATCAGGGTACTGGCAACTTACATAAACCCCAGGCACTCCTCCAAGATCAGATATCAGATTCGCTAAGTTCAAGTGTATTGGAATCATCTGTCACCCCTTCAAAATTATTTACTCTAAGCAGTTGATAATGAGAACATTTATAAAGAAGATGCCCACCTGAATAGTATCTTAAAGTAACAGACAGTCGGTGTAATGGTTCACTAATTGGTCTTTGCTAAACATCAACTCAAATGGCCAAAATACTCCTTAATGGACCAACTATATTAAAAGTCCAGGTGCAGGTGAGATGGGAAACAGCCTTCAGCTATGCATGCTGTGGGAAGGCCCTGAGGCCCTAAGGAGGCAGCAAGGAATCTGGCAATGAACTCAGGCTTTGGAGCCAAATAAACCTTAGAATCCCCCTTCTCCCAGCCCTACTATCTCCTTCCCTACTGCTTACTACTTATAGCCTTAATGGGAAATGGGCTGTGATTAACTTCTCTAAGCCTCACTTTCAACATCTACAAGGTGTGGGATGAAAGACATAATAATGGTACCCAAATTTATGGCAGACTATGGAAAATAAACCACATTGTACCTACAAAGCACTTGGCACATTCCTTGGCACATGGCAGGTGTTTGATAAATGATAGTTCACACATTTCTCTTCAGTGCACCTGTTTCCCTGAGCCAAGGGACCCAGAAGTGGGAATTTTATTAACTTTTTAATAAGGAGGCTATGAAATAATCTCAAGACTAGAGTATACTTGGCCATTCTTTTTAAAACCCCATTCACTGTATTTGCTGCTCACTTGTCTTGCACCAGGCTCTGTGCTCAGCTCTAAAAGAGACAGAGATGAATAAGACATGAACCCCAAGGATAAGACCCTGGTGATTGTGTCTATGGAGGTAATACTGCATTTTGCCTTCTAAATAAAGTTTGTTTTCTCATGCTTAATTAGTATCATTTCTTCTCTGTGCTTAGTAATTGGTTCAATGGATTGTTGGAACTGTTGATAACTGTGGTGATAAAAGTACTTTTCAGTTTGGGGCTTTAGCACAGTCTTAACTGTCTCATTGATTCAGTAAATATTTGGCCGGGTGTGGCGGCTCACGCCTATAATCCCAGCACTTTGGGAGGCCGAGGAGGGTGGATCATCTGAGGTCCGGAGTTCAACACCAGCCTGACCGACATGGAGAAACCCCATCTCTACTTAAAAAAATACAAAATTAGCCAGGCATGGTGGCACGGGCCTGTAATCCTATCTACTCGGGAGGCTGAGGCAGGAGAATCTCTTGAACCTGGGAGGCGGAGGTTGCGATGAACCAAGATCACGCCATTGCACTCCAGCCTGGGTGACATGAGCAAAATTCCATCTCAAAAAAGAAAAAAAAATGTATATATTTGGGGGCACTCACTAGGCGACAGGCACTATTTTAGATTCCAGGGATACCATGGTGAACAAAGCAAAGTTCCTGTCCCCATGGAGCTCATATCTAGCTGGGAAATGTGGTAGTTTTAAGACATGTCTGCAAATTCTTTCATCTTTTTCTCATCAAGATGTGGGTTCTCTATTCCTCACCTTGAACCTGGGCCCACCTTAATGATTGGTTGGTCACCAGCATAAAGAGGAAGTGATATTCTGTGACTTCCAGGCTGGGCCATAGAAGCCAGGCAGTTTCCTCTTGGTTCCCTGGATCACTTGCACTGGAGCTGCCACGTAAGAAGTCTGACCATCCCGAGGCCTCTATGCTGTGAGGAAGCCCAAATTAGTCCACATGGAGATGCCCTGAGTCTACAAGAAAAGAGAGGACAGACAGAGATGCTCCTCTAGACACCATTTCGCTGAAACCACATGAGGGTTCACCAAGCCAAGACCGCTGAGCTGAGCCTTTCCCAGGTTCCTGACCACAGAAACCATAAGAGATAATAACGTGATTGATGGTGGCCAGACACAGTGACTCACACCTGAAATCCCAGCACTTTGGGAGGCTGAGGTGAGAGAATTGCTTCAGGCCAGGAGTTTGAGACCAGCCTAGGCAACATGGGGTGATCTTATCTCTACAAAAAAGTCTAAATATTAACCAGATGTGATGGTGCGTACCTGTAGTTCTAGCTATTCAGGAGGCTGAGGTGGGAGGATCACTTTAGCCCAGGAGTTTGAGGCTGCAGTGAGGTATGATTATACCACCGGACTCCAGCCTGGGTAACAGAGTGAGACCTTGTCTCTAAAAAAAAAAAAAAAAAGATTAATGTTGTTTTGGGGGTGGTGTATGATGCATCAATGGATAACCAGAATAGGGAGAACATAATAAACAAACACATTTATCAAGTAATGATAAGAAATATTAAGAAAAGGAAAGCAGAACAAGAGAATAAATTGACATGGGTGTCATCAGGGAAGACCTCCTGAGTGGTGACAACTGCACAAATATCAAGGAAGGAGCCTCATGCAGCATTCCCAGTGAAGGGGACAGCAAGCATGAAGGCCTGCGGCAGGAACATGCTTAGATACTCAAGGTCAAGCAAGAAGGAAAGTGTAGCTGGGCCACAGTGAGGGAAGAAAGGAATAGAGGAAAGTTAGATTAGAGTAGAAGGCATGGGTCAAATAGGGCCTTACAAGATAGCATCATCAGAATAAAGATTAACACTCACAAAGTACTTACTTACAAACTGTCAGGCATTATTTCAAGCACGTTCCATGTATAAATCCATTTACTATCACAGCATCCTTCAAGGTAAGTAATAGCATTAACCTGATTTTACAGATGAGAAAACAAAGGCACAGAAAGGTAAAATAAGTTGCCAAAGATCACAGAACGTGGTGAGCGACAGAGCTAGGATTTGAATTCAGTCAGTCTGTCTCCAGAACCCATGACTTACTTAACCACTACTCCTCAATGCCAGGGTGAGAAATTTGATTGCATTCTAGGTTGCGTGGGAAGCCACTGAAACTCTGAACAGGGGCATAGTGTGGCAGGGCTGACATTGCATCAAGGTTGTTCTGGCTGTGCTGTGGAGCATGGATCATAGAGAGGCAAGGGTGGAATCCAAAAGACTCGCCAGGGAATTATTGCAGTCCCAGTAAGAGATGATGTTGGCTTGCACTAGGGCAACAGCTCTGGAGGGAGTACAGAGTGGGTGGATTGGGAATAAAACTTGGAGCTGAAATGACCTGCTGATGGGTAGAACCAGATGTGAAAGAAGAACCAAGGATGACTCCCTGAGGGTTTCAGTATGAACTACTGGATGAGCAGTGATGCCTTTTAATAAGAAAGGAAACTGAGGAAGGGGCAGATTTGGGAATCAGTCCTTCTGAGGCAGTTCTAAATCTTAGTCATTTCTACATGGACCCGCCAGTCTCCAGCACAAGGCCTAACACATAGGAGGGTGTGAGCAATATTGTTTGAACAACGGGGCCACTAAGATCCAAGTTTGGCCTTGCCAGAGGCTATCATCCTCAAAGATTAAAAATTGTAATTTCTGGCTGGACATGTGGCTCACTGTAATCCCAGCACTTTGGGAGGCCGAAGCAGATGGATCTCTTGAGGTCAGGAGTTCAAGAACAGCCTGGCCAACATAGTGAAACTCCATCTCTACTAAAAATACAAAATTAGCCAGGCATGATGGTGCATGCCTGTAATCCCAGTTACTCGGGGGGCTGAAGCAGGAGAATTGCTTGAACTCGGGAGGCGGAGGTTGCAGTGAGCCGATATCGTGACACCACACTCCAGCCTGGGTGACAACAGTGAAACTGCATCTCAAAAAAAAAATAATTCATAATTTCTTTCTAAAATCATCAAAGATGACCTCAAAAATCCTTCTTCGTCATTTACACTTTAACATAAATGATTTTTGTCACATCTTCTCCTGGGATCACTTTGTAAGATCGGGGGAGAGGGTTGGAGTTGGGGGAAGGTCCTGAATACTTGGGTAAGAGATGAGACCACACCTCTGCAAGTTCAATGGGCAAGTTCAAAGGCCTCCTGAACTCCTGTAGATCTTACATGCACAGCACCCAAAGTGGAAATGATTGCACTGACTGAATAGCACCCATGTTCCAGGCCTCATACTAAGCACATGTCATACCTCATTTTATTTGACCTCAAGAACACCATGTGAGTGCAGTCCTGTTATCCCCTTCCAAGTGATGCAACTGCTCTGATAGACAGCAAATAATTTGCTGATGGTCTCACAACTTCTAAGTGATAGAGGTAGTATTTAGTCCAAGGTTGATTCAAAAATTGGTGCTCTATTCACAATAGCAAAGACATGGAATCAACCTAGGTGCTCATCAATGGTGGACTAGATAAAGAAAATGTGGTACATATACACCATGGAATACTGTACAGCCATAAAAAAGAATGAGCTCATGTCCTTTGCAGCAACATGGATGCAGATTGAGGCCATTATCCTAATTGAATGAATGCAGACACAGAAAACCAAATGCCACATGTTCTCACTTAGAAGTGGGAGCTAAATATTGTGTACACATGGATATAAAGACAAGAACAATAGACACTACAGACTCCAAATGGAGGAGGGCTGAAGCGGGCAAGGGTTGAAAAACTACCTACTGGTTACTATGCTCACTATTTGGGTGATGGGTTCAATTCAAGCCCAAACCTCAGCATCACACAATATATCCATGTAGCAAATCTGCACATGTACC
The DNA here is from genome assembly GCF_000001405.40 of Homo sapiens. Lineage (NCBI taxonomy): Eukaryota > Metazoa > Chordata > Mammalia > Primates > Hominidae > Homo > Homo sapiens. Next base: position 34,949,568 of record NC_000022.11, read on the forward strand.
CTCTGAATCTAAATTTTATTTCTAGCAGTACTTTTCCCACTCTGCCACCCTGGGAGAAAGACTGACGAGGTACAATGAGCACTACAAGGTGTCCCAGGCACAAGGTCCCTGACCTGGCTCCGCCCCTCACCAGGTGAGGACCTTAGGTCAGTGACTTTCCTTTTGTGTGCCTCAGTTTTCTCATCTTCGAAAGGAATAGTAATGAGGTTCCTAACCTCATTATGCTTCTGTAGGGACACAGAAAGTAAGGTGCTGGCAACTGTTCTTGTTACAGTACTAACAATCATGGCAGGCCTCCTGGAGGAGTGGAAAGCAGTGCACTATGGACTGAACTGTGTCCTCCCCTCCCCCAAATCCATATGTTGCAGCCCTAACCCCCAATGAGGCTGTATTTGGAGATGGGGCTTTTAGGGGGTAATTAAGGTTGAATGAGGTGATAAGAGTGGGGTTTGGATCCAATAGGACTGGTGTCCTTATAAGAAGAGACACCTGGGCCAGGCACAGTGGCTCATGCCTGTAATCCCAGCACTTTGGGAGGCCAAGACAGGTGGATCACCTAAGGTCAGGAGTTCAAGACCAGCCTGACCAACATAGTGAAAACCCATCTCTACAAAACTACAAAAATTAGCCGGGCATGATGGCATTTGCCTGTAATCCCAGCTACTCGGGAGGCTGAGGCAGGATAGTGACTGGAACTGGGAGGTGGAGGTTGCAGTGAGCCGAGATCACACCATTGCACTCCAGCCTGGGCGACACAGTGAGACTTCGACTCAAAAAATAAAAAGAAGAGACACCAGAGAGCTCACTCATCCTCCTCTCTCTGCATGCTCTGAGGAAGAGCCATGTGAGGCCAAAGCGGCCATCTACAAACTAGGAAGAGGGCCCTCGCCAGGAAACAAATCAGCTGGCACCTTAATCTTAGACCTTCTTGCCTCCAAGAATTAAGAGAAAATTAATTTCTGTTATTTAAGCCACCCAGTCTATAGTGTCTTGTTATGGCAGGCCCAGCGGCTAATACACAGTTCCAAGCTGCGCTTCCTCTCTCATTGCCCAGACTTTCCAGACAGGACTTTCTGCCTCCTGCTCTCTGAGGGCCCTCCCCCTCTAAACATGCAAATGTACTCACTCAGTTCCCAGGAAATGCGAAGCAGACAGCCCTGGAATTCAAAACAGCCTGCAGACTGCAGCCTCTTATTTTAATGATTCTAATTTATCTCCAGAATTATCAATAATAAATCAAACTAAGTGGAACTAAAACAACTTTCCCTGTGGCTGTGTCATGTTCTGTTGGAAAAGACGACCCCTTCAAAAGGCTGTGTTGATCACCAGCTCCTCCATCTGCCCAGCGAGCAGGTTCCCTGAAAAGGTGCTCAGTGACTTTCCTCCATGGAGAAAGACGTTTTCCATTTGTGCCTAACCAGCCATGCACAGTTTCAGGAGCACCACATATAACCCTCATTTAATTTAAGCTTATGGGTTAGGAATGAGTATGACCTCATTATACTAACGGGAAAACTGAGGCACAGAGGGGTTCAGTGAACCTTTCAAAGTCACAGAGCGGGGATACTAACCCAGCCCTCCCTAGCCCCAGTCCCACGTTCCCTCCCATGAAAAAGTTGCCTCTGAGCTGCAGATATCAGCTTGGTACCCTGGAAAAGGCTCAGGCTTTGGAATTCAGCATCTGGGTCTGAGTTCCTCCTCTGCCTTTAATGATGGGTAAGCATTCAGGGAAGTAGCTGAGTCTCACTGAGCTTCCTTTCCCATCTCTAAAAGTGGCAGCTTATCATGCTTAAAGGACAACCATGTAAGTAACTCCAGAGAGCCCCTAGAACAAAGAACACAGGAACAGCGTCCCTGGAGGTGATCCGTGGGGTGGTGGGGAATACATCCCTCAGCAGGTTGTAGGAAGACTGAATTAATAGTGGCAAATCACAAAGTAAAGTGCCTGTGACTTAATCAATAATCACAATTATCATTATTTATTATGATGTTTGTCTGGATTCTTGCCGATATTCACAAGCTGAACTTCAGGTGTAATAAGAACGGCATTGACGTACCACCTCCTGCTTAGCCAGTGGAATAATTGTAAATTATGGTCAGTAAAGGGGAATGTTCTTGAAACCATGGGAATTCAAAAGTACATCATCCAGCCTGAATGACTACTTTGGAAAATAAGGAAGATGAGGTCAAAGAAGTTGTAAAATTGTTGGAGGTCACACAAGCACCGTCTGGTGGAATCATGGTGAGAAGACGGGTCTCTCCTGTCCCTCAGCATCTTCCTTCCTGGACTTCCTCCCCAACAGAATAACAGCTCTGGTCTGTTGCACCACACTATGCAGTTGAAATGTTGCTTTCACCGATATTACTACTTTTTGGTCCTTGTTACATGTTGAATTATGTCCCCCAGAAAGAGATTTTGAAGTTCTAACCTCCTGTAGCGGTGTATTCCCCGCTACCCCCCACGGATCACCTCCAGGGGTGCTGTTCCTGTGTTCTCTCTTTTGGGAGCTCTTGGGAGTTACTTAGACGGTGGTGCTTTAATAATTATAAGCTGCCCTTTTTAGAGATGGGAAAGGAAGCTCACCCAGACTCAGCTACTTCCCTGAACACCTACCCATCGTTAAAGGCAGAGGAGAAACTCAGACCCAGATGTTGAACTCTTATTTGGAAATAGAATCTTTATAGCTGTAATCAACTTATGACAAGTCACACTAGAGTAGGGTAGACCCTAAATCCAGTATGACTGGTGGCCTGGAGAAGAGATGACAAAGGCAGAGATTGGAGTGCTGGGTCTGTAAACCAAGGGATGCCAAGGATTGCCAGCAACACCAGAAGTGAGGAGAAAGACGTGGAGCAGCTTCTCCTCATAGACCTTTAGAGAGAGCACAGCCCTGCTGACCCCTTGATTGCTGACCCCTTGATTTCTGACCCCAGCCTCCAGAAGTGTTTGAGAAGAAATTTCTGTGGCTTGAGGCCACCTGGTTTGTGGTACTTTGTTACAGCACCCCTAGCAAACTAATACAGTCCCCCCAAGCAGACACTGGAATAATGTTCCCTGCTTTTTCAGGCAAGAGTCCAATCTCAGAAGGTATGAATGGCTAAGACGTCACCAAACCCTCCTACCTCACTGCTCTCCAATCGCACTGGCCTCTTTCTCTTCCTCAAAGTCACCAGGGCCTTGGCACTTGATCCTCCTGTTGGGAACTGTGTTAGCCTGTTCTTCCTTTGCTATAAAGAAATACATGAGACTGGGTAACTTATAAAGAAAAGAGATTTAAATGGCTCATGGTTCTGCAGGCTATACAGAAAGCATTGTACTGGCATCTGCTCAGCTTCTATGGAGGTTTAGGAAGCTTCCAATCATGGTGGAATGTGAAGGGGGAGCAGGCACATCACATGGCCAGAGCAGGAGCAAGAGCATGGGTGGGGGGAGATACCACACCCTTTTAAACAATCAGATCTCACAAGGCCTCACTATCATGAGGACAGCACCAAGGGGATGAGGTTAAACCATTCATGAGAAATTCATCCCCATGATCCAATCACCTCCCACCAGGCCCCACCTCCAATGCTGGGGATTACAATTCAACATGAGATTTGAGCAGGGACAAATATACAAACTGTATCAGGAACACTCTTCCCAGACCTTGAAGTCAGCTGCCTCCTCCTTCCCCACCCCAGGCCTTTATCCAACATTACTCTTCAAAGAGGTCTCCCTCCCCCACCACTACCCACCTCAGTCCCTCTCTTTATATGATGCCCTCTCCTTCTTCATCCCTCTCAAGGCACCAGAGTGCTTATCACTTGGATATATGTTGATTATCTCTCTCCCTCCGCAAAAATATTTGCTTCTTTGAGGAACTGGAATTCTGTCTGTCTCTTTCTTTCCTGTCTTTTTAGATGGGAGCACATAACTGATGCTCAGTAAGTACCTGTTAATAGACTGGAAAGAGCAGGAGCTTTGAGATCAAACCTGTGTTCATAATTTAACTTCACCTTTTTTACTTTGGTGACTTTATTCGTGTTCTTAAACCTTCCTGGTGCTCAGTGTCCTTGTCTATCAAGTAAGAACAATAATAGACAACATCTACTGAGCTTTTCTTTGTGCCAGGTGCTGTCCTAAGCATTCGAAAGGCATGAATGCATTTAAACTTCACAAAAACCATATGGTAGAGGTACAGTTGTTATGCCCATTTTACAGTAGAAGAAACAGACAGAGAAGCTGAGTAACATCCCCAACATTCACACACTGCACTGGAATTTGACTTCTTCTTTGACCAGAATGCCTGCACTTAAGCATTAGGATTTGCTCTTCCAACAGTGCCAAGGATTTTTATCTCATTAGGCGGTAGTGAGGACTGGAAATGATTCATGTACAGTACTGAGTGTGGCCCCTAGCATATAATTCGAGATCAACTTATAAAACTCATCAAAGTGTTGCTGACATTTTGCAACTCTTGTTACAACACTCAAATCCAGTGTCTTGTTACTCTTGTTTTCTACTTTCTTCAGTGGTTCATTAATCAGTGCTCCACCCTTTATTTTACCCTATGTGCTAGCCATTGGAATCCACAGGCAAATTTTGGTACTGCAATTGGCCCAACAGGGGACTGGGAGAGATTCCTCTATCTCGGATTCAACAGAGCTCAGTTTTGTTCAACAAACTCCCTTTGAGCCCCTAATTATGTCCCAGGCACCGCAGCAACCAGGGCACAGGGAACAGGCCTTCAACTCCAGCCTGCCAATATTTAATTTTCCAGCTTCACATTCTAACCCAGGTTTGCACAAGAAGAAAGAAAGCCCGATCATGAGAGCATCGGCAGTAGACACTACCCCCGATTTTTTTTTTTTTTTTTTTTTTTTTTTGGAGACAGAGCCTTGCTCTGTCACCCAGGCTGGAGTGCAGTGGCATAATCTCAGCTCATTGCAACCTCTGCCTTCTGGGTTCAAGTGATTCTCCTGCCACAGCCTCCCAAGTAGCTGGGATTAAAGGCGTGTGCCACCACGCCAGGCTAATTTTTGTATTTTTAGTAGAGACGGGGTTTCATCATGTTGGCCAGGCTGGTCTCGAACTCCTGACCTCAAGTGATCTGCCCACCTCAGTCTCCCAAAGTGCTGGGATTAAAGGCATGACCAACTTTATGACATGAGGGACAAGCATTAGACAGAAATCAGAAGACTTGGGCTCCAATCCTCAGTAGATAGGATGGGCTGGTAGGTAAACAAGGGCTTTACAGTCAGACACACATGGGTTAAAATCCAAATCTGCTAACTGGCCACATGATTTCTGAGCTCTTTAAGCTCGCTGAGCCTGTTTCTTCATTGTAAAATAGGAGCCACAGTATTGCCCATTTTGCAGGACTTTCTAAAGGATTACATGTAACATACATGTAGTACGTACTTAATAAACGGTGGCTACTATTACTACTCTTATTACCAGTGGTATCATCTTGAGTAAGTCAATTACTCATAATTACTCTCTTTGAGGTCTGGCCTCTCATCTATAAAACAAGGTTAATAATCCTCATTCTTAAAGAGATGTTGGGATAACTTAATAAAACACGTATGTTAAAAGCCATACCATAGAGGTGGTGGTTGCACAACATTGAGAATGTACTTCAATATCTGCACAGGCCTGGTGCTGGCAGTGCCCTTTGTACTGAGGTGTTGGAGCAGGACAACAGTGAAGTTCATTAGGAATGCAACCCAGGGTGGGCTGCTGGGGTCCATCCTGTCTGAGGGGCCAGGAGTGGAGCCCACACTCACTCAAGTCCCACTTTGGGGCAAGCCTGAGCGCCCAGCTGTTCTGTGGAGGCACAGACACTCGCCCTCAACAAGAAAACCATTTCAGAATCATTTCTTGAATGACCCAGAAAGGCCACTGTGCCAGTCTGTCCATTTCATTTTAACAGGAAATAATCAGGTACTTTTCCTGGCTTGGAGCAAGAATGGATCCTCTTTACTGTATTTAAAAAAAAAAAAAAAAAAAAAAAAAAAAAAAAAGGCCAGGCGCGGTGGCTCACGCCTGTAATCCCAGTACTTTGGGAGGCCGAGGTGGGCAGATCACGAGGTCAGGAGATCGAGACCGTCCTGGCTAACATGGTGAAATCCCGTCTGTACTAAAAATGCAAAAAATTAGCCAGGCGTGGTGGTGAGCGCCTGTAGTTCCCAGCTACTCGGGAGGCTGAGGCAGGAGAATGGCGTGAAACCTAGGAGGCAGAGCTTGCAGTGAGCCAAGATCACACCACTCCACTCCAGCCTGGGCAACAGAGCGAGACTCTGTCTCAAAAACAAACAAACAAAAAAAACACTCATGGACACAGGGAGGGGAACATCACACACACACAGAGGCCTGTTGGGGGGATGGGGGCCAAGGGGAAGGAGAGCATTAGGACAAATACCTAATACATGCGGGGCTTAAAACCTAGATGACGGGTTGATAGGTGCAGCAAACTACCACGGCACATGTGTACCTATGTCACAAACCTGCACGTTCTGCACACATATCCCAGAACTTAAAGTAAAATAAAAAATAAAAATAAAAAAGAGAAAGAGAGTGAATGTACTTAACGCCACTGAATTATACACTTAAAAATGGTTAAAATGGTAAATTTTGTTATATATATTTTACCACAATGAAAAAACTGAAAATTAGAAAAACCAACAAAATAAGCCATTCCAGTTGGGATTCCTATTTATAAACAACAGAGCCCACTCTAGCTAGTTTAGCAGAAAGTGAATTTATGAGAATGTCAGGGCACTCACAGATCTCCAAGTGGGTCAGGAATCAGTCTCAGAGGCTGTGCAGCCAGGACCTGCCTCAGTAAAAGCTCCACAATGTCACAAGGGCACTAACCCCACACAGCTCAGCTTGGCTGGAGCCTCAGCCAAGCAGGACACGCCTGCCATCACCGTCACTGAGTGGATTCTGCATGGCTCCTGTTCCTTCACTTCACTCCACTCCCTTGAAAGTCCAGGTTTTGGCCGGGCGCGGTGGCTCACGCCTATAATCCCAGCACTTTGGGAGGCCAAGGTGGGCGGATCACCAGGTCAGGAGATCGAGACCATCCTGGCTAACACTGTGAAACCCCGTCTCTACTAAAAAATACAAAAATTTAGCCGGGCGTGGTGGCGGGCACCTGTAGTCCGAGCTACTCGGGAGGCTGAGGCAGGAGAGTGGCGTGAACCCGGGAGGCGGAGCTTGCAGTGAGCTGAGATCGCACCACTGCACTCCAGCCTGGGCAACAGAGTGAGACTCCATCTCAAAAATTAAAAAGAAAGTCCAGGTTTTGCACAGACCTGGACTTTCTAACTGCACTTGCTTTCCGTGTTGTCATGATCAAGGTCATATGCCAGGACTATGGTTGCAAGGAAAGCAAGTCAATGTACCATGTCTTAGGATGCATGAACTTCCGTGGTGGGGAATTCCCAAGTATAAGGAAAGTGTGCACAGATACTGTGCCACCAAAAGTCCCCTAAAAGTCCATTTCAGGGGCTTTGAAACCCAAGCTGACTTGGGTTTTAATACCAGCTCTAGTAATCGCAGGCCATATAATTTGCAGCAAATAATCTCTCTGATTCTCAGTTTCCTCATCATGAGAGAGGAGTATTAACACCTACTTTCAGAGATTTTATTCAAATCTTGAAAATAATACATCCAAAATTACAGCATATTATAGGTCCTTCCTCCACACGCCCAACAAACGCAATTGAGCAATTGGACAGGAAAACTTTTTGACAACGTACCACCATGAATGGCCTTAATGCTGGCGATCTCTGCCATGGGATATTGTCTTTTCCATGAACATGCCAGACACCATCTTCATAAAAAGAAAGTCAATCTTGACGTGTCTTAGTCCATCTGTGCTGCTATAACAAAAATACCTTAAAATAGGTGGCTTATAAACAACAGAAATATATTTTTCACAATTCTAGAGCCTGGGGAGTCCAAGGTGAAGACAGTGGAACATTTCATGTCTGGTGAAGGTCCATTCCCTGTAGACGGCACTTTCTCACTGTAACCTCACATGGCAGAAGGAGTGAGGTAGCTCTCTGGGGTCTCTTTTGTAACAGCACTAATCTGACAGCCTTCATGACTCAGTCACCTCCCAAAGACACTACGTCCTAATACCATCACCTTGAGGGTTAGAATTTTGATACACGAATTTGAGGAGAACACAAACCTCTAGACAATAGCATGAGGCAACTTGCAGACTTCCCGCTGAATAAGACCATGGCAGACACAAAAAAGACCCCAGTTCCAGGGGAGAGAATAGCCTAGCTGAGGGTGAGGGCTGAGCAATAGGAAGCTCTTCCATTGCAGGGGCATGTGCCTATGCATGGCCTGGAAGAGAAGAAATGCAGCATGCATGTCCCAGCAAAGGGACATATGACATAACCTCAATTAAGTGCCAGAGGTCACACAGTCCAGCCTTGGAATGGTCTTTTTGTTTATTTGTTTTTTGTGTTTTTGAGACAGAGTCTCACTCTGTCGCCCAGGCTGAAGTGCAGTGGCACAATCTCGGCTCACAGCAAGCTCCGCCTCCCGGGTTCACACCATTCTCCTGCCTCAGCCTCCCGAGTAGCTGGGACTACAGGTGCCCGCCACCACGCCCAGCTAATTTTTTTGTATTTTTAGTAGAGATGGGGTTTCACCATGTTAGCCAGGATGGTCTCAATCTCCTGACCTCATGATCCGCCCACCTCAGCCTCCCAAAGTGCTGGGATTACAGATGTGAGCCACCGCACCTGGCCTGGTATGGTCTTTTAATGAGTCCTGCATCAGAAGTATTTCCAATCTGTATCTGAATCTTCCAAAATACATTGCAGAAGACCCAAATCCTAATACATAGCCACACTCTTTATAGTTCTTATTTCCCATTCCTCCCAGTCTCCAATTCTCTCATCCTCAGCAGCTGCCCCAAAGCCTCTTTCCTTCTCTCACTGCTCTACCTCGAGATTCCTCCTGAAATCACAGCAGGGGCTCTCATTTTTCTACCCTTTTCCACACTAATTTTCTTTTCCTTTCTCCTTTACAAACCGAATCTACCCAGACTAGCACCTCCGTTTTTTTCCAGATGACTCCGTGTGTGTGTGTGTGTGTGTGTGTGTGTGTGTGTGTGTGTGTGTGTGTGTGTGTGTGTGTCTTGGGCAGGGCAGGAAAATCACCTCCATCAGACAAAGCTGGAGGTTTCCTTCATGTGCAGAGAGAAAGTGGGCACGACTCTGCATACATTAACAATTTTGTCTCTGTTATATACATTTTTGGAGATGACAATTAAACCTGTGAGTGAATTTGGTCAATCATAAGGTCTGGCAACAACCTTGAACGGAGGTTTGCATCTTAGAATTCTCTAACTATGATAGATTGAAAAAATGGCCACAGTGCTTTCCAGCTTCTCCCATCAAGAAGCCTGCTGCCCACCTGTTGAATCTTGTAAGGTCTTGTGACTTGCCTTGGCCAAGTGAATATGGCAGCCGTAGCACTGTCTGAGTCCTGAGCCTAGGTCTCAGTCAGCTTTGCAGCTTCTGCTTTTGCAGCTTTGGCAAACTAGACACAGAGTATGAGACGTACCAGGCTAGCCTGCTAGATGAACAGAGACAGTGGCCCAGCCTCCTCTATTACTCCAGCCAACAGACAGGCAGCCCCCAGGAACAGAGCTTCCTAGATGACCAGCAGCTGGCCACAGAGACGTGTGTGAGACCAGCCAGGACCAACAGAGAATAAACATCCAGTGGAGCCCAGCCCAAATGCCAACTCACAGAGTCGTGAGCTACATAAATGGCTATTGTTTTAAGTCACTAAGTTTTGGGGTAACCTGTTACACAACAGAAGGTAACTGATAAGATATGGCACCCCAAACCGTCATGGTAACAGGTTCTAAAGGAGGCTTCTGAACCAGTGTCTGCCTGCCATTGAAAGGGCTTCCCATCACCTGTGGGTGTGGGGTACTCATAGGTCTCCCATGGAACCCTTCTGTTGGCTTTCCTGTCTAAACCTCTGGATCCCTGTTCTGAGTCCTGCAACCCTAGGACAGTTTTGTTTTCATCCTTCCCTCCCACTGTCTCCCATTATCATGGCGACATATATCAGAAAGGAAAAATGGCGCATTTCTGCAAATCAGCTAAGGTTTTGCAGCAGAGATGACAGCTGGGATTGCTGGCCCATTGTGGAGTACAGTACCACAGGATCTCTTCCAGACAGAGAAGCAAACTGGACCCACTGCAGGAAGCAGCTCTGTTCTCACTAACCAACATTAGGGTTTGGAATCAAGTCGCTTTTCTAGGGCTGGAGATTGTAGTGGAATTGCTAGTGACATGATGAAGACTACAGTGAAGCTCCCAGCCCCAGAAACTGCATCCTCCTTCCTCCCTACCCTGTTAACGTGTTACCTGAAATTCCAGCATTCATTCCTTTCATTTTGTGTAATGGAAAATGCTCTGACATTAACTATATACTGTCTGCATAGCAAAGCCAATATCAACAAAGTTAAAAGGCCACAGAATGGGAGATGTCTGCAAAGCACATAGCCAACAAAAGATTAGTGTCGGGAATATATAAAGAATTTCTACAAGTCAGTAACAAAAAGACAAACAGCTCAGAACAATGATGGATGAAGGCGGTCAAAAGACAATTCACAGATGAGTTCACTCGAATGGCCAATAAACGTGTGACAAGGAGCTCAGCCTCACAAGGAGCCAGGGAAAGATAAACAATAAGCAGTAATAAGATATCAACCCACAAGTCACCAGATAGGCAGAAATCGTTGCAGGAGGGAACATCAATTGGTACAGCCACTTTGATGAGAAATTTAGTAACACCTAGCAAATGGGAAGACCCACCCTGAGACCCAGCAATTTCACATCCCAGATCTAAAAAGAAAAAGTCTTCTTGCACATGTGTACAGAAGACATGCCCCAAGGCGTTCACTGTGGCTCTGTTTGTAATAGCAAAAAATTGGAAACAACCTACATATCCATTTAGAGGGGAAATAATAAATTATAAAATATTCATACAATGGAATTCTATACCAATCTTAAAATGAGTGAATTAAATTTGTATGTATCATCATGAATAAAATATAATGTTGATATAAAAAGCAAATTGCAGAAAGTTAGGTAAAGTTTGCAGTTTATGTAAAATTTTAAAACCCTAAAAGAATCCTAGACACATATATAAAAGTACAAAATTGGGCTGGAAGATTACTCATCAGCGTTAGAATAGGGTTATCTCTTGGGGACTTGGAAGGGGACAGGGACTGGGGAGGTGAAAAAGGGGGCCTCCAATAGTATTTGTCACATTTTATTTTTTTAGAAAAGAAAGGACCTACGGAAATAAGGCAAAATACAAATACTCATGACACTGGATGGTGGATAGACAAGGGCTTATAATTTGTTTCCAATTCATTTATTCATTCATTCACTCATTCACTCAACAAATATTTACTGAGTAACTGCTTTGTGCCAGTTACTGTTCTAGGTGCTGGGGACACAGTTGTGAATATGACAAAATCCCTGCCCTTGTGGCACAGACAGTAGAGACGTGCAGACAAGAAACAAATGAGTAAAATTATTAAATTGTCAGATGATGATAAGATCTATGGAGAAAAATAGGACAAAGAAGGTCAATATGGAATAGAGGTGTTGGGAAAAGTGGACAGAAGGTTTAAATTGGGAAGCCAGGAAAGATTTTGATACAAAGGAGACACGAGGATCAAAACTGCAGGGATAAGAGAGGGAGCCACGGACATGAGCAGGGAGGGACCCTCCAGGCAGAGGAAGAGCAGGTGCTGAGGCCCAGGGCGAGTGCCTGGTGGGCTCAAAGAGCATAGGAAGAGAGATAGGAGATGAGCTCCCAAGGTAATGGGGCAAGAGACGGGGGGCATCATGTATGTTTTAAATATTTCATAATGTTTAGCAGAAAAAGAAAAACAAGAACAGAAAGAGAGAGGGATTTCCAAAAGGTGGTTGGTTGAGCTCAAACAAAAATATACAGATTGGTGCAAAAGTAATTGCGATTTTTGCCACTTAAAAGTAATGGGAAGGCCGGGCGCAGTGGCTCACACCTGTAATCCCAGCACTTTGGGAGACTGAGGCAGGCGGATCACGAAGATCAGGAGTTCAAGACCATCCTGGCCAATATGGTGAAACCCTAGCCCTATTAAAAATACAAAAATTAGCCAGGGGTGGTGGTGCATGCCTATAGTCACAGCTACTCAGGAGGCCGAGGCAGCAGAATTGCTTAAACCCAGGAGGCGGAGGATGCAGTGAGCCATCATCGCGCCACTGCACCCCAAACTGGGCAACAGAGCAAGACCAAGACTCCATCTCAAAGAAAAAAAAAAAGGGAAAAAATGCAATTACTTTTGCACCAACCTAATAGTTGGGAAATGCAAATTTTAAAAATAGATAAACTCTTCAAAGTTCAAAATGTGCCACTAGGTCCAGTGAAGTTTCAAGAGGGAGCTGGAGAGGTAGTTCCCACTGGCTGCACACTGGACCCACCCGGGATCTTTACAACATCCCGATGCCCAGGTGGCACCCAAGTTACATCAACCAGAATGCCTGGAGCTGGGCCAAGCACGGGTCTACACCAACCATGGCCTGGTGATCTCAATATGCAGCAAAGCTTGGGAACCACAAGGATAGCGTGTGCTGAGTTTCCCTAACCTAGATGAACCTGGAACCTTCCGATTTTCATTACATGTTTCCCAGACCAAATCACAGGACTGGGTTTCCCTACAGAACATCAGTTTGTGAAATGGAACTCAGTTGTTTGGGGTTATTGTTAACATAGTTTTTAAAAACATATTTTTTTTTTTGGTTAAAAAAGCAATATATTCCCAGTCATTTCCATATAGATGTAAAGTACTTAAAATAGTGTCTGGCACATCATCAGAGCTCAATAAATGTTGCTCTTATTGTTGTTGTTATTTATACCTTAACATGAAGTTTATCATCTCTCTTCCTAAAAACGGGTCTTGGTTGACACATCAAAACATTTATTAAGAATATTTATTCAGCCTTACAACATGCCAGGGACTTTATATGTCTGCAAGTCAGAATCTTCTGATTTTAAAGATGAGGAAACAAAGGCTTAGAAAAGTAAAGCAACCAGCCGAGGGTCACTCAGATAACTGGTGGCATGACCAAGGCTATGTGTGTGGATCTTGCCCACCACTAAAATTCATCCTGATTTTATAAGATTGTTGCTCTTTCCCAATAATGTGAACGTAGTTTTGGATTTTATTCTCGTGTAAAGGAATACAGAAATGAAAGAACCAGATGCTTTTCTGGGCTCCCCAGGCAGAACTAATCCCTCCCGTCTCTGGGCCTCCACGGGCCTTTGTATGTTCCTCCATTATGGCTCTTAGCATATTGATTTCCAGCTGGAGTTGGGATTCACGGTAAAGTCAGGGAAGGGGGTGGCTGCCCTGGGTACCTCCGAAAGCTGTTGTTCTAAATTGTGCTGTGGTTCTGAATTGTGCTGTGGGTATGGGCTACAGTGCGTGGGCTGCAGATTTGCTATATGGGCTACAGTGCATGGCTGCAGATTTGCTGGTAGTGCTATGACCCCTTGTGTGAGGGATGAGACCACACAGAGGCAGTGCATCCTAGTGGTTCAGAGAGGGAGTCTGGTGGCAGAATGCCAGGTTTCCAATCCAGGGTCTGGCCCTTGGTGGCCTTATGACCTTGGATGACTTTCTGGACCTCTCTGTGCCTCCATGTTTTCATCTGTAAAACAGAGGTAACCGCAGTATCTTCTGCATAAGGTAGAAAGGATGAAAGGAATTAATGCATGCAAAGTTCCTGAACAGTGCCCAGCATACATCAGCACTAAATAGACATTAGCTGTTTGCATCATGTTATGGTTGAAACTGGCATCAGAATGGGGTTAACTTTTTGGAGGTTGGGAGGGGACAGGGACTAAGGAGGTGAACAAGGGGACCTCCAATAGTGTGACTTGGATGACTTTCTGGGTCCCTCTGTGCCTTCATTTTCTAAATCCATACAAATAGAACACAGATTGGTGGATACCAGGGTCTGGAGTGAGGGGTAAACATAGTGACTGCTTAATGGGCATGAGGTTCCCTTTTGGGAAGATGAACATGTGTGAGCCTAGATAGAGGTAGTGGTTGTGCAATACTGTGAACACATTTAAGGTCACCGACTTGTTCACCTCAAAATGGCTAATTTTTGTTATGTGACTTTCATTTCAATGAACAAAAATTAATAAATCTGGCTAACCTACATTCTCATCCCAGTTCACCATATCTTAGCCAAATTACCTCTTCCTCATATTTCCTCATCTGTCAAAAGGAATAATAGTAATATTTTGATCACAGGTCACATGAGAGAGTTAAATCAGGTAATTATGTAAATTAGACCATGCATGTAAAGAACTGGGCACACAGTAAATGTCCAAGAAATGATACTGATTTGTTTTTGAGTTTAAGAGCTACAATAGGGAGCACTTTGGAAGTGACCGTCTCTGCCTTTTCATGGAATGGATTGACACATGTCACCTATAAAAAGATTGCATTGTCAAGCACATGCATGCAGGTCATGTACAAATTAAGGAGGAAGCATTCTCCAACACTGACCTGCCGGGATTTATCTGGAAAACCCATTCTCAGCAACTCAAAAGTTCTCACACTTACCTCTTTTAGAACTAACTAGAAGTTACTTAGCAAATATTTGAAATAGACCCATCAATTTCAATGAAATATATCTCTAAAGAGATTCTATCCACCTTTACTCAGATATTAGGAAACGGTTCCTACAACAATGCCTTTGATGGAAGACATTGGCAGAAAGGAATCTCTTGCATGCCATTCTGTGTGCAGTGTTCAATTTTGTTTGAAAAACAGTCACCCAGGAATTTCTACAACACCTGTTCTGGCCTGGGGGAGGGGGATGGCTTTAAAGAAACACATGTCTGTATTGCCCTTCCATAATCTGATCAAACTGCAACAGAAGGAGAGGAAGAAAAAACAGAGAGATTTGTAAGATATAAATCATAAAAGCAACAAAAAAGACAGAAATATTATAAATGAAAGACCAGGTGCACTCTTTCAAATTATGCTGAATTGAGCCCAAATCCCTAATGTTTCATTTTGTAATGGCTATCCAAACAGATGTCTTAGCCTTCAGAAAACTCACTAAAAATGGAAGTGCAAATCCTCCTTGAGCTGTTGCTTTACCCAAACCTCCTGCCGCCATGTTGACACCAATGGCATAAAAACACCAGTGGTAGAAGGGAGGCAAAGTCTAGTGCCAGAAAGTGTCATGGAACTTTTCTTATTGACCTATTACATATCAAGAAACATGCTAGAAAAGTTAGCATTCATTAGCTCACTTAATCCCTAAAATAACTCTAGGGGGGTAGAATTTATTAGCCAGTTTTTTAAAACATACTAGAAGGCAAGCTCAAAGCCAACAGGAAGCCACCGCGTGGGCATATGACCTGTACTGTAACACAGGGCCCACGCTTGGTTGCTTGGTTTAATTATCTGCTGTTGTTGTTTTGAAGCTTCAATTTTTGAACAAGGAAACCAATATTTTTCATTTTGCACTGGGTCCTGCAAATTCTGAGCTTATCCTGCTACGTACAGACGTGGTGATGTTTCAACAGGCCTACCACCACCTTATGTACTTCCCGAGGCAGTAGAATTAAGCCCCTGGTTGCTGTTCTTTCTGTTGTATCAGAGATACAGGTTTATAATGAGGGTAAAAGGAGATTGCATATGCAAGAGGGCTCTGAAAAGACAGCTGTCAGTTACAGAGAGATAGATACTCCACAGGTATCCTAGACCATCATTGTGGCCCACAGACCAAATCAGGCTTGTTGCCTGAGTTTTATGACCCAGAAGCTTGGAATTGTTTTTGGTTGTTTGTTTTGAGACAGGGTTCTACCCTGTTACCCAGGCTAGAGTGCCATGGCACAATCATGGCTCACTGCAGCCTCGACCTCCCGGGCTCAAGTGATCCTTCCCTGCCTCAGCCTCCCAAAGTGCTGGGATTACTGGCATGAGCCACCATGCCTGGCCCTAAGAATAGTTTTTACCATTTTAAATAATTGAAAATTTTAAATAATATTTCACACCACATGAATGTTATATGAAATTCAAATTGTAGTGTCCATAAATACACTTTTACTGGAACACAGCCATGCCCATTCATTTACATAGCAATGATAGGCTGCTTTCCAATGGCAGAATTAAGTAGTTACAACAGAGAATGTATGGCCCCAAACCCTAAAATATTTACTATCTTACCCTTCACAGAAAAAGTTTGCCAACCCATGCTCTAGATGTTTGATGAGTGAATGAATGCACAAATGAATGAATGAGTGAATTTTAAAATGTTCTTATAATTTCATTGTTAGTATTATATTTACACAGTGTCAGAACAACTTGGTAAAAGGTCCAGGCCAGGTGCAGTGGCTCACACCTGTGATCCCAGCACTTTGGTAGGCCAAGGCGGGTGGATCACCTGGGGTCAGGAGTTCAAGACCAGCCTGACCAACATGGTGAAACCTTATCTCTACTAAAAATGCAAAAAATTAGCTGGGCATGCTGGCAGGTGCCTGTAATCCCATCTACTCAGGAGGCTGAGGCAGGAGAATCGCTTGAACTTGGGAGGTGGAGGTTGCAGCGAGCCGAGATCACACCACTGTGCTCCAGCCTGGGCAACAAGGGTGAAACTCCATCTCAAAAAAAAAAAGAAAAAAAAAATCCAAAACTCACTAATGGTACTCAATATCTGTTCTGATTTTTCCCTCAGAATTACCCAAATGTTTTAGAAAACATAGCATTTAAATTCCACATCTCTTTATTTTTCAGTTTATGGTAAATTGATTGCAAAAAATAAAAAAACCCTAATTCTTCTTCTCCATAGATCTATGCCCCTTGATATGACTTTGCAGTTCCTTCTACTAAGAAGATGAATCCATTTCTCCACCCGCTGAGTCTGGGCTGGTCTTGTGATGTGCGTTAGTCAATAGAAGTGGCTGAAGTGATGGCGCGCCAGTTTTTAGCCTACACTTCAAGAAGCCTATGGACTTCCACTTGCTGTCTTGAAACCCTGTTTGAAAAAGGTTCCCTGAGGACAAGGCCAGACTAGCCTGCTGGAGGGTGAGAGACCACAGGGAGCAGAGACAAGTCAGCTCACATTAGCAGAACCTCTCAGTCAATCCACAGACCCGTAAGCAAAAATAAGTGTTCTTATAGAATGGCACAGTGGTTTGGGGATTGTGTGTTATGCAGCATTATTGTGGAAATAGATAACTGATACACCGTCCCCTTTTTGTTTACTCATACGCATTCCTTCTTTGTTATCATCTACAGAAGAGTATTAGCAATGGACATTGATCAAACCCTCATAATAATAGCAATAAGAAGAACTGATTCTGAAAATTATTATGTGCCAGGCAATGTGCTAAAGATTTTCCCTGAATCCTCTCACTTAATCCTCACAAAAGTCTTGGGAGGTTGTGTACGGTAGGCAGCTTCTACAATGGCTCCCAGTGACCCCTGCTTTCTGGAATTCATACCCTTAGGTAATCTCCTCCCCTGGAGTGTGGACCAGAGTTAGTGACTCACCTCTAACGAATGAAATAGCTCAGTCTGATGGAAGCAGCTGCCCTGTTGTGAGCTCCCCCTAGGGAGAGGCCCACATGGGAAGAAATCAAAGTATGCCTCAAACCAACAGCCAGAGGGAAACTGAGGCTTCAGTCCAACAAGCCAGAAGGAACTGAATCCCACCAACAACCACTTCATTGAGCCAGTAAGTGGCTCCTCTCCCAGTCTTGAGATGGCTCCAACATCAGCTGACACCTTAATTACAGCCTCGTGAGGGACCCTGAGCCAGAGAATCAGCTAAGCCATGTCCAGATCCCTAGTCCTTCGAAACTATAAAACAGTAAATGCTTGCTTTTTCAAACTGCTAAGTTTTGGAGCCATTTGTTATGCAGTCATAGATAACTAATATATGATATGATGCCTTTTTTGCAGATGAGAAAGCTAAAGCTTGGTGAGATTACGGAAGCCTACAGTTACACAGCTGACTCCCTCCAGAGGCCCCATCCACACCCACTGTTGGACTCCTGCTACTCTCGGAGGCTTGGAGTTGGTTTCTCCTCCCCCAAATCGGTCTCAACACTTACCCTTACTTCCTGCTCTTCGTGGTCTCAGCCTCACTGTTCTTCGTGGACTCATTTTTTCTCTTCCCTTTGTTTTATTTTTGTCTCTTTCTTTCTTTTTTGGCTTCAGTGGAGTCCTAGCCTTAAGGTTTTCCTTCTCTAACCCCTTGTTCCCCTTCCATTCTCTTTCCAGCCCTCTGTAAGCTGCAGCACAGTGTTTACAGTTAAGCCAGCCTCCATTGAGGCCTTCAGTTGCCGAAGTTCAAAAAAATCAACCTAGAATAACAACGTATTGTTATATAAATGGCATCTCAGAAATAAACTAGTCAAATACGCTTATCCCCACAGTTCACATGGGGGAAAAGCTTGCTACCTGATGTTCTAATACATAATAGTTGTTTTCTCATTTATCAACTTTCATCCCCAGTATCTGTAAGCTCCAAGAAGGCAAAGACTTTCACTATTTCATCACTCTTTTCTCCAGGCCTAAAATAGGTCTCACTCCAAAACAGACAGGCAAAGATTATTTTGAGAGTGAATGAATATTAAATGCAGAAGATAACAGATCAAGAGGGAGAAAAGGGGTTGCAATTTATTGAATAGCTCTTATGTGCCAGGCATTTTTACCAATATTATTTTCTTGAATGGTCGCAATCATTTTATGGGGCTTCCCATTTTGTAGGTGGGGAAAATTGAGGCTCAGAGAGGTTAATTTCCCAAAATAACACAGCTAGTAAGGGACAGAGCAAGGATTGGAACCCAGGTCCCCATGGCCTCAGAGCTTGTTCTCTTTGTTTCACATCCCACTACTGTGGGCCTGTGGGGTCTCAATGGTAGTGTCTCAAGCACTCAGACTAGAATCTACACCTCCGGTGACCTGGCTTCTTGGCAAGCAGCTGAATGGCCAGAAATCCCGCCATGGCCCCTACTACACCTTTACAAACACAGGTCACAGATCCATCATCCTTAGTAGCACTCCTTGCTGGTAAAATAACAATACAATCTCGTGTGACTGTGGGAGAGGGATTAAGAGCACAGCTGCACTAGAATCCAGTCCTCTCAGTTACTTGCATGACTAGAGCAAGTTACCTACCATCTGTGGGCCTCAATTTCCTCCTATGGAAAATGAGGAAAAGAAACGCACCTAACTTCATCGGGTTGCTATGTGAATGAAATGAGTTGGTCCCTGTGAAATGCCCAGAAGAGCCAAACACATACTAAGTCCTCAATAAAACTAAGCCAAAATAATTATTATCACTTAGCCTCTCATGTCACCCTCCCAATCCAGTTAAGTGCATCCCCTTTTTAAGGATGAACAAACTGCCTCAGAGAATGTCAGCGATTTGTCTGGATTCTTTAACAAAGCCAGGAGAAACGAGGATCCATGTAACATTCCCCTTCCCATTCTGCATACCTCACCCAGAATCCATGTGGCTCCTCCATGTGCTCTTGTTCCACCCCTCCCGCACTAGCTCCTGTATGTTTACACTTGATAACTTGGCTTCACATCTCCAAGCTGCACTTGGAATCGTTCAGATCACAGCCGAGCATCTTTATGTGTTGTTCAATCTTTGCTTCTGAAATGAGGCTTTCTTTAAGAGAAGAGGGACAGGAAGGCAGAAGATGGAGCCCCAGATAAAGAGGGAAACTGAGTAGGAGATGGGAAATACAATGAGAGGGTTTCCAGCAGGGACCCCGTCCATCTCCATGAAGCACAGCACACTCATTTCCCCCGCAAAAGTCTTCTTCGTTGCAGAATGGAATGGGGAGCCCACAATAACGAGTCTTTAATTACGAAACTCTTTTACCTTATTGCTTTTGTGCGGCCCCGATGAAAATAAGCAGTGGCAGTTTCTATTAGAAATGTTAATTACTTTCCCGGGTAATTAGACTCACTGGGTATCGTGAGCACCTGACCTCACTTCATAACAGCAGAGTTGGGAAAAAGAAAAAACGTGGCTGGGGTTGAGGGAGGTGGGGAAGAAAAGGAGAATGTTTATAAATGCTGAGAAAAGCAAAATCATCCAAATTAGCTAATAGAAAACTGTAGCTAAAGGGCCCCTGAGAATGGCTGGAACAGGATACCTACTAGGAAAGGGCTTTTCAATGCCAAGGACTTGTCATGAGGATGGAAACAGGGACAAATCTCTCTTAAAATAATGGGATCTTGGAGAGATTCCTACCGGGTCTCCTCTAGCAAATAAGGCTGCTGAGGCACCAAGCTGCTCAGAGACTTCGCAAGATCACACAGCAAGGTGGAGGCAGGTGTGAGCCCAATAGGGCGGCTGCTTCACCTTGTCTGATACCAACGGGGATTGATTCCTTCAATAGTTAGCCATTGACCACATGCTAAGGGCTACTTTGGCACTAGGAGAACAGCACTGACACAGTTCCAATTCTTAAGGAGTTTATGGTCTAGGGGTACAGAGAAAATGGCCATACTGCTATGAGGGAGGCATATAGAAGGCTGTAATAAAGAATCATTGGTATAGATGGAGTAGTCAGGGAGGGCTTTCCTGTGGAGGTGGCTTCTTCCCTGAGACTTAAAGGTAGAGAAAAGTCCCCCCAATTGAAGAGTTGGGGTGAAAGAGTGTACTATGTGGTGTTGTGGATTAGTGTCCCCCAAAATTCATGTCTACCCAGAACCTCAGAATGTGACCTTGTTTGGAAATCAAGGTCTTAGCAGATGTAACTATTTTAAGATGAAGTCATACTGAATTAGGATGGGCCCTGAATCCAGTGACTGGTGTCCTTATAAGAAGGGGAGAGACACAGAGACACAGCTGCACAGGAAAGAAGGCTGGGTGATGACAGAGACAGAGATTCAAGTGATGCAGCTGGAAGCCAAGGATCACTGGCAACCACCAACGCTGGAAGAGGCAAGGAAGGGTCATCCCTTGGAGCCTTCGGAGACGGTGTGGACCTGCTGACACCTTTTTTTTTTTTTTTTTTTTTTTTTTTTTTTGAGACAGAGCCTCACTCTGTCACCAAAGCTGGAGTGCAGTGGAATGATCTCAGCTCACTGCAACCTCCACCTCCCAGGTTCAAGCGATTGTCCTGCATCAGCCTCCCAAGTAGCTGGGATTACAGGTGTGTGCCACCACACACAGTTAATTTTTGTATTTTAGTAGAGACTGGGTTTCATCATGTTGGCCAGGCTGGTCTTGAACTCCTGACCTCAAGTGATCTGCCCGCCTTGGCCTCCCAAACTGCTGGGATTACAGGTGTAAGCCACCGTACCCGGCATGACACCTTGATTTTGAACTTCTATCCTCCAGAACTGTGAGACACAAATTTCTCTTTTTTAAGTCACCCAGTTTGTGTTACTTTGTTATAGCAGCCCCAGGAAATTAATACACTTGGCTACCATGAGCCCACATCCCTGGCACTACAGAATACATTCTGAAAATATAGGATAAGGTTATGTAGAGAGTGCTGAATGAAGGTTCCAGCTCTCCTGCTGACCTGTAACTTCCAGTAAGTCACTCCCCAATTTGGACCTTATCTAAGTCAGGAAGAACTTGGAGTTCCCAAACACATAGTCAAGGCCAAGTCAAATCTCAATCACTTAAGGATCTGTTTAATATGCAGATTCCTGGGCCCATACTCCTAGGCTTACAGAAGCAGCATCTCTGGGTGGGGCTCCAGAACCTGTACTTCCTAACAAGCTCCCTGTGAGAGGGATTTAGATATGCCATTATGTTTTTAGAATTTCTGGGTCCAAACACACACTCTACGTCCCTTTTAGAGCAATGTGTATCATATTCTAAGGGCTGCACACTCTGGCCTTGACCATGAGCTGCACCTGACCATCCACACTGACCTAATGCACTGCTGAGGCCTGTTTGAAAACCCAGGCATCCCAGATGCCAAGAGATCCTTCTGCCAAAGGGAAGAGGCAGGCTCGGTCCTCAGAGTCATTAAAGAAGCTGTTTACAGAGCCCTGCTCCTCTTTTAATTTGTTTGTCTTTTCGATTGTGTAATTGAATCCAAGCCATGGGGCTCAGCCAAGCCTTGCCAAGGAAGGAGTGATCCCTCAATACCCAGGAGTGACTGATAGTCATTTCTGAGGCAAGAGGTGCTCTGGGTCTGGGTGGCAGGAAGGTCTGAATCTTGCCATGCTTCTGAATGGAGGCAGTGTGGTGTGGGGGACAGTGCTGGGACTTAGCAAATTAGAGAAACCAGGATTCAAATTCCCACCTCTGCCATGAGCCAGCTGTGTGACCTGCACAAATTGCTAAGTCTCACTGTGCCTCAGATTCCTCATTTGTGAACCCAAGAGTAACACATCCACCTAGCAGGGTTGCCGGGAGAACTACAAGAAGCAATGCACACAGAGACTCCAGCACATTGTGGATGCCCAGTAAAATATGCATTATCGCTATCTTATTACATTTGTTATTATTGTTGTTATTGAATAGCAGAAGGCTCTCATGGAGAATGCCGGCCCCTCTGGCAGTGGATGGCACATAGCTGTTAGAGCCAAGAGGGGATAGAGAGATGGCAGCCTGGTGTCATGAAAAGAGCCCAGAATCTAGAATCAGAATTTCTAATTTTGAATTCCAATTCTGCTCTATTCCTTCGGTACGGCCTCGGATGAGTTACTTAAACACTCTCATCTCCGAAGTGGAAACCGGTATTCCTATCATACCCATCTCTGCTTGTGACAATCAAATGAGACAGCATATGTGAAATTGGGAAAACTCCAAATCTTTTTACAAATCCAAAAAAGAAATGATTCTCTAGCCCCCTGGTTCATAAGTCTGGCTGCACATTAGAATCCCCTGCGGTGTTTTTTTAAAAAATCTCAGTGTCTGACTCAGTTGAATGGCAATCTCCAGGAGTGCGGCTTGGAAGAGCAGGCAGCCACTGAGAGTGGCTGACCTGGCCCAGAGCTCTTGTGCTGCAGAAGAGGAAGGCTAGGCCCAGAGAGGGAAGCAGCCTTTGTACACAGCAGGTTAGTTACACTCTGGAGTATCCCTCACTCCCCACCTCTGCCTCCTGCCAGGATGAAATTCCAACAGGCAGAGTCTCAGGGATGAATCAGGAAGCCAGGAAGGATTATTTGCATTGTGGCACCCTCCTGGGAAACCAGGGTATGCACAGTCAGTGTTTAGCCAAGAGGGATATGCCCAGAAGCTCCTCGGCTTGTGGGCACTCACCTTGCAGAGGTACCCCTGTTCTTGGATGATCAAGAGGCAGGGGTCTACTGGCAGGCAACTCAGAGGTGGTTACTGCAGCAAGCCCAGAGGAAAAAGCATGCAGAATGGAAGGTAAGCAAGTTTCGGGGTCAACCCAGCTAGATTTGAGTTCCCCACTCCCACAATCCCCTCCCCACCACCCACCACTGACTAGCTGTGCACCATCAGGCAAGCAGAATGAATGAGAGTTTTGCTATTTAAACACCATGTTTCCCTGCTAGGCTGGCTCTGGTTCCTGCTTCTTAAACATGCTTCCTTTAGCTCTGGTATTCAGTCTACTCCCTTGGATGAATCAGCCCTTTTTGGGAAAGAACAATGTCAGGCAGGCTCCTTTATCTACAATGGCACAGCCAAGGAATTGAATGAACCAGATTGGGTTGCTTGAAGAAGATCAGGGAGCAAAGGCAGTGAGGCCCCAGCCTCCAAAAAGCTGTGTGTGGAGGAGGCCCCAGGAGCAAGCTAAAGCCAGGACCCTAGGTGGAAGACCCAGCAACGGAGATGCTGTGGAAGGAATTTTGTCAGCATAAAGTTGTGTAACAAAGGAACCAGCTGCCTTGAAAAGTAGTGAGCTTCCTGTCACTCAGGAGTTAAAGTGGTGAAGGTTGCATGGCCACTGGTGAGGATGGTATTAATGGGATTCATACATTCAGTGGAGAGGTGGACTAAACAAACTTGAAGGCCCTTCCATGCTCCGATTCTCTGTTTTCCAAAGTCTGAAGTCCCACTAACCACATCTGCTAAAAAGAAGTCAGGTAGACTTACAAATCCTGACTCCACCACTTGTCGTGTGACCTTGAGCAAGTTTTCTAGTCTTTCTGAGTCCTTTCCCTCATCTGCAATACAAAGATAATCATATCCATCTCGAATAACTGGGGTGAGAATTAAACCATGTACTATATGCACCGAGTGCCTTGAACAGGCCTTCCACACAGTCAGGTCTGAAATAGCAAAACACCACCCTGGCCGCCCTCCTAATCTCCAGCAGTAGCTTCCCAGTGGTCCTCAGGTTTCCCAGGATATGTGCTTATTAAGCAGATTAGTGCACAAAACCAACCATTGCTCACATCCTTGGATGCCCAGGATTAAATGCTGGTTGCAATCTCCCTTCCCATTAAGCTCCTGCCTCGCAGAACCCAAGCTATTTCACAGGGAGGGAGGTATTAATAACCATGCCTAAAGGGAAGCTATTGAGAGGGGGAGAGAAAAAAAAGTGGTGTAAATGACCACAAAGAATGCAGGCATGGTGTTTGAGCTGAAAATGCACATCACAGATTCTGGTCTGCACTGCTAAGCAAGAAGGCAAATTCCTTCCTAGTTGCTGCTGCCAAACATTCTCTCCCCAGGGCACCAGCAGGCTGCCTTCTAAGCTTGTCTCCCCCAGGCCCATCCTAAAAGTAGGAGGTAAGCATCGGTCTGCTGGGCAAATAGCAGTCAGGGCCAGAGCGACACAGCTGACCCCCACCTCAACACCTTCTATGTGCACAGTATAAGTAGGGACCTTCTAGTGGGATTTGAGGGGCCCAGAGCATACTCCCACCTTGGTCCAAAAAGCATCTCCCTTATTAATTTACCGTGCATGCTTGAACTTATGACTTTTCCGTTTTTCACTTTCAAAGTACTTTTACTTCTGTTTCCTAAAACTGAATTCCTAGACCTCATTAAAAGAAAGCAAAATGGTCAAAACCATTTCCCACAGCTAAGAACTCCTAGTTGGTTTAGAAATCACCTCCCAGTTAACCCAGGTGACCTGAGGGAAGAATAAACGACATCCTTGGAAATTGAGGTGAAACTCATACTGTCCAGGACCCTTCCACTTCTTCCCCTCCCTGACATACACACACACACACACACACACACACACGTCACCAGATTTCATCTTGAGCTATCAAATGCCCAGTCAGCCCATTTGTATTAGTCCTTTCTCACATTGCTCTAAAGAACTAGCTGAGACTGGGTAGTTTATAAAGAAATGCGATTTAATTGACTCACCATTCTGCAGGCTATACAGGAGGCATCACTGGGGAGGCCTCAGGAAACTTACAATCATGGTGGAAAGCAAAGGGGAAGCAAGCACATCTTCGCATGGCAGCAGGAGAGAGGGAGTGAAAGCAGAAGTGCCATACCTTTAAACAACCAGATCTTGTGAGATCACTATCACAAGAACAGCAAGGGGGAAATCCGCCCCCATAATCCAATCATCTCCCACCAGGTGCCTCTCTCAACATTGGGAATTACAATTCAAAATGAGATTTGGGTGGGGAAACAAAGCCAAACCATGTTACCATTCATTCAAGATGATGGCAGCCAACACTCTTGTCTCACACGTAAGGGACAGCAGTGGCCGAGGGGCCAGGTTCTCTATTACCTGACACTATAAATGCTCCAGATGGGCTCATATTATAGAAAGTTAATGACAAACCTCCTAATCAAAACACAAGGACGGATGGTTCCTCTGGTAGGTCAAATCAAGGAGGGTGAAGGTGAGAATGAATTAAGTATCATCGCATCCATTTTACAGATGAGGAAGTTGAGGTGGTAAGAAGTAACTTGCTCATTACCACAGCCAACAACAGATGGCAGAGGTAGCTTCAAATTCAAGTTGGCCAAGCACTAAAAGGCGTGTTATTTTCATTATGTCACATGAGTCCTTACCCAAAAGCTCAACTTTGCCTACTTCACAGTGTGGAGAGAGTCCAGGTCTGGGTCCTTTAGAAACAAGGCTACTCTGTTAGGCCTGTGACTGTCAAAACTTAACAAGCATAAGAATCACCTGGGAGCTTGTTAACCTGCAAAACATAAGTGTGGTCCAGACCAGCACTTCTCAAACTTACATATGTACACAAATCACCTGGGGATCTTGTTAAACTGCAGATTCTGATTCAGTGGGTCTAGGGTTGGGGTGAGACAGCATTTCTAACAAGTTCCCAGATGAAGCCCATGCTGCCAGTCCGTGGACCACATTTTTGAGTTGCAAGAGGCTAGAGTTAGCCAGTGCTTGAATCCTGGCTCTGCCACCTACTGGCTGTGTAACTTAACCTCTCTGTGGCTCAGCCCTTTCTGTATTAAAGATGTGTGTCAATACAGTGCTACCTCATGGAGCTCTTTTAGGATCAAATGAGATGATTCATGTAAGTCACTCAGCACAGCAAGCAGTGCATAGAAAAACCTCAATAAATGGAGACCTATTATTATTATCAGTGAGTTTTGTGGCACATTATAAGCTTTCAATACATAAATAAAAATTGTTAGTGTTACATTTTTCCATTAGCTTACATTTATTCAGCTTTTCCAAGTTCTGTAGTTTCCCCTGGAAATGAATTTCAGAGATAGCAGTTTGCATTTGTATAATGCACATTCATGTATATTTCCATTTTAGTTATCAATGCTAATTTAGTGCTGAAAACGACTACGATGTAAAACTTCTGCAATTCCGTGGCTGACTGAGTTTGACTGGCCGGTTCTTCTGCTCCACATGGTGCAGCTGAGGTTGCTCACACACTTGGGAGCTTAGCTGAGAGCAACACTGAGGCTGAAACGTCCAGGTTAGCCTCTCACCCTCCGGGGCACTCTCTCCACATGGTCTCTTGTCATTCAGTGGTCTAACATAAGCTTTTTTCATAGCATGATGGCTGGTTTCCCAGAGTGAGTGTTTCAAGAGGAGGGGCCCCAATGTGCAAATGCATATCGATCCTCTACTTATATTATGTTTACTAATGTCCCATTGGCTCAAGTCAGTCGCATGGCCACACCCACAGTCCAGGCGGGAGGGGACTACACAGGAAGTGTGATTCATAAGAAGCCACCCACATGAAGTCTACCATGATTAACTCATTTTACTATAAGCCCTTTGAAGACAGGAGCTCATATGCTAGGTGCACCATCGTATCCCCAGTCTTAGAAGATTATTGAATACATCCAATCCTCACAACCAATCCAAGAAGCAATTAAAGCAAAAATATTCTCCCCATGTGCAGACGGCTATGAGAGCCTGAAGTTGTGTTGCTAGTGAGGGTTGGTGCCCAGGATCCCAGGCTCTGGCCCTCATTCCTTCCTCTCCACTGTCCTGCCTAACCTCGGAGCTTAAAGCTTTTCTCCCAGCCCTTCCCTCCCTGTGTGACTCCTTTCTCCAAGTCTCCTGGTGAGAAAGTTAATTATTTATAAATGAACATTTAAATGCACCAGAATAAGTGCTATGTAAGGGAACCCTGTGGTGACTCATTGAGTAATTAAAATAATCATTTATTCCATAAGCATTTATCAGGTTCTCAGTTTGTACTAGGCACTGCAGGGGCAGAGATGGACAAGAAAGAGGTCCAAAGAGTTAGAAGATGTGGTTCCTGCCCTCAGGGAGCTAAATCACTTATTCTTTCATGCCACAGGTGTATTATGCACCTCCTACTCATGTGTCCAACTAAGTACTGGGCAATGGAGGTGAACCCAGCACTGTTTCTGCCCTCAAGACGCTCACAGACTGGCAGGGAGTAAATGAGCCCATAGTTGTAACCATTACCCCTGCAAACACAGAAGGGCCTTAACTCTGCCTGGTGCAGAGACAGGGGTCAAAGAACTTCCCAGGAACAGTGACCCACAAACTTTCTCTGGACACAGAAGTTGACCCATTAGACAAGACCCAGGAGGCCTTACACAGAGCCAAGAAGGCAGGGAGAACAGTACAAGTCACTGAGGTGGGAAGGGAGGGCTTCTGTCTTCTGAATCCTACATGCAGAGCCAGTTTTCCAAGACACGCAGCCCAAAATTGTTCCAGCCAAGAGTACCAGCAAGCATTACTTGGACAGGGTGATGCTTCCCCTCTTCATCCTTTAAGACTCTGATCAATGCCATCTACTTGCACAGGACTTCTCTGATGGCCAAAGTGGGTTCCCCACTTCCTTTGCTATCACGCACCATGTTTGCCCCACTCATGGTGCCTAGCCCTAGCTTTGCTTATGTACTTACTATCTGTCACGTCCATTCAAATTAAACACCGTGAAGGTAGGGACTTTACCATTCCCCAATATCCTGATTAGAACATAAGGCACAAAGCAAGGACTCTGTTTTGTTCATTTTCATCCCAAGCATGTAACAGAGTCCCTGGCACATGGTATCTTCCTAAAGAATGAATGAATGGAAGGGTCCTTGAAGGAGGTATGAAAGGGCTGTGACTTGGGGGATATTAAGAGTAAATACTATAGTTGTACTGTGGCTTTAGAATAAGACCAATCTGAGTTCTGATCTTGCCTCTGCCCCTCACTCAGGAACTATAGTAAAGCAATTTTTCCTTCTCAGATTCTCCACATTCCTCAGCCTGGTGTCAGACATCCTTTTTCAAATCAAACTTTAGAGCAGATATGAGGGTTCTATTTTTGACAGGGTTAGCGATGAGGGGGTCTTCTGAGTCTACCAGGGAGGTCAACCTGGGAGGAGCCCAGCCAACAGCATATAATCAACATTGTGAGGAGATATCAACTGCAAAGCCAAGCTGAGTTTGGTTCCCAGGTCATAGCACCTAGGTCCCAAGAGGAGCCAGCAGAGTTCAGTTTGGGCTGATGGAGCACTGAGAATCCCTAATACAAAGGGAGTCAGCTACTTGGCAAGTCTGTCTAGGGCCCCAGCCTAAGAGATAGAGAGAAAGGCAAGAGAGCTGTGTGTTTTCACACGTACTGACCCCTCTTCAGAAAAAGCCATCCTTACCTTCCACATGGAGGACTTTTATCCATTCTTCAAAACCCCATTGAAATGCCCCTCTTCTCTAAATCTGTTCTGTCTTTCATACAAAGGTAGTCACTCCCTCTACTTTATTCCTATTGTAGCTGGAGCATGCTTCTACTGATAATTATCATCTTTTCCATTAGGCAGAGAACTTTCCCAGAGCAGAGAGTTGGCCTTACCTCTCTGTAGCTTCAATGCCCAGCACAGTACCTCTTGTATAGTAGCCATAATAATCACTAGCTTTTATTAGGCACACACTCTGTTTTCAGGATTTTTGCTTAAAGATTTATGTGCATTACTTAATTTAATCCTTACAATAGCCCAGTGAGTTAGGTTCTAATAGGATTCCCATTGTATGGTTGAGAAAACTGATGGAAGTAGAATTCACTACATACCCAACGAATGTGTGTTAAATAAACGGGCAAATAAGAAAGTGACTGAGTGAAATAACCAGAAGTAAAGTTATTTTTTGGCTGTCTTTATCTTCTAGAGAGCAGATAATCACTGGGGCATCCTACTGGATGGAAGTGATCTATACCCATGTGCTTGGATTCCTTTCATGTCCATAATGGGAAAAGGGTTGAATAAAATGTATGACTGGCTGGGCGCAGGGACTTAGCCTGTAATCTCAGCATTTTGGGAGGCCAAGGCGGGTGAATCACTTGAGGTCACGAGTTCAAGGCCAGCCTGGCCAACATGGTGAAACCCCATCTCTACTAAAAATACAAAAAAAAAAATTAGCTAGGCGTGGTGGCACTTCCCTGTAATCCCAGCTACTTGGGAGGCTGAGGCAGGAGAATTGCTTGAACCTGGGAGGCAAAGGTTACAGTGAGCCAAGATTGCACCATTGCACTCCAACCTGGGCAACAGAGGCAGACTCCAGCTCAAAAATAAATAAATAAATAAATAAATAAATGTGTGACTGAAATCCCTGGTTACAAGACATGATTTCTCAGACCCCCTAGAACAAAAGACAGGACCTCGAAACCATTGTCTAAGAGCAGATCGTTACCTCTTGAGGGGCTGCTCATTCTGGAATTTCTTTCCTTCCATAATGCACCCACCTTGGCCACCTGGATGGTCCTTCAACTGCCTTGTGGAGGAATATGCCTGCAACTTGCATCTCTCCTAGCTTGAGTGATATGGACAACCGTAGGTGTTAATGCATACCCATTTCCACTCCTCTGACCTTTGTTGGTGAGAGCCTTCATCAGGAACACTGTGTCCTGTGTACTCAGAGATTAAAATGGACTTCCTCTTTAGTTGCTTCTCTTCAAAGCCTTGGTCTGGTGAATACCTGGCTCTTATGATTACAGCAGATTTGTTGCTCAGGTCTCAGTAAAAATTCTAGACTCAGTCTCAGAAACTTCATAAGGTGCTGTTACACTAGTTATGGGCCTGAGATAAAAGTTGTGGCTGGGTGAGCCCTGATCACAAAGAGACAGCATCTTCTCATGCCCACCATCCAAATGAACTTAAGGTTCTCAACCTGTTCCACCCCCAAAGCTGTGTGCTTACTACCCCAGGAGGGCCAAAGAAATGCTTCCTCCCTGGCAACAGCTGGAGCCAAAGAAATTGTTTCAACATGAAAAACGCATGAAGGTGAATGTGTAACATGTTAAGCCCTGCAACAGATTTTGCAATAGCTTCAGATCAAGACTATGTAATTCAGATAACAATCATATTTGGGCATATTTGGAAGTCTTGCAAATTCAACCCCCTCTATTGATATTATTTAATATTTATTGAGTATCCACTGGGGCTAGGCCCCATACTAAATATTCTACATGCAACCTAAGTGTTCATTAGCAAATGGATGGATGAAGAAAATGTGGTATATATACACAATGAAATATTATTCAGCATAAAAAGAAGGAAATTCTGTCATTTTCAACAAAGATAAACCTGTAGGGCATTATGTTAAGTGAAATAAGCCAGGCACAAAGAGACAAATACTGCATGATCTCCCTTGTATGCATAGAAGTAGAGAGTAGAAGAGTGGTCACCAGAGGCTGTGGTCATTAGTGGGGAGGGTGGGTTGGAGAGAGTTGGTCAGAGAATACATAATTACAGATACATAGGAAGAATAAGTTCAAGAGATATATGGCACAGCATGGTGACTATAGTCAACAACTACATATTGTACTCTTGAAAAACAGAGTGGATGTTAAGTGTTCTCACCACAAAAATGATAACTGGCCAAACATGGTAGCTCTTGCCTGCAATTCCAACACTTTGGGAGGCCAAGGCTGGTGAATCCCTTGAGACCAGGAATTCAAGACCAGCCTGAGCAACATGGTAAAACCTCGTCTCTACAAAAAATACAAAAAATTAGCCGGACATGGTAGTGCACACTTGTAGTCCCAACTACTTTGGAGGCCGAAGTGGGAGAACCACCTGAGCCCAGGAAGTTGAGGCTGCAGTAAGCCATGATTGTGCCACTGTACAGCCTGGGTGACAGAGCAAGACCCTAGCTCAAAAAAAAAAGAAAAAGAATTATAACAATGTGAGGTAATGCATTTGTTAATTAGCTAGATTTAGCTATTCCACAATGTATTAAAATATATACTTCAAAACATCATGTTGCACATGATAAATACATACAATTTTATCTGTCCATTTTTTAAAACTTTTTCACAATCCTAAGAGGGAACAACTATTAATATTACTCTCATTTTCCAGCTGAAGACATTGAAGTTCAAATAGATCCAATTGCCTGCGCAGGGTCTCATAGCCATGGGGTAGCGGAGTGCAGGTTTGACCCCAGGTCTGTGTGACTCCCAAGTCTCTGTATTATTCTGCCAGAATAAGAATCCAGCCCAGCTTTGGTGGGCCAGGCCATCTAACTATTGGAGCTTCCAAGCCAGGAATCTCAGAGTCACCCCATAGACTTATACCAAAGCTTCTCAGCAGGGCCTAAGAACGCAGACACAGCATCCTTCAAGAGGGAGCC
Source organism: Homo sapiens (assembly GCF_000001405.40). Lineage (NCBI taxonomy): Eukaryota > Metazoa > Chordata > Mammalia > Primates > Hominidae > Homo > Homo sapiens. Next base: position 34,981,573 of record NC_000022.11, read on the forward strand.
AACCTGTCACCTGGGAAACGATCCGCCCCTCGACTCGCTACTCAGGCAAGTGTCTGCCTCTCCCATCCATATCTACATCCCATTCCAAATCTCTACGGATCCAAGAGGAAACACCCTTCTCCTCCCTTCCCTTCCAGAAACACCCTAAGCTGCTGGCCTCAGCCCCCAGAGCATCAGTTGATGACTTAAGACCTGGAAGTCACTACCAGAGCACTTTGAACACACCGGATCCCAGGACAATTGTACTTTTCTAGGCCTCCATTCCTTTCTCAGTGAAATCAGGAATTAGATTAGACTAGACGTACTTTTTTTTTTTTTTTTTTTTTTTTTTTGAGACGGAATCTTGCTCTGTAACCCAGGCTGGAGTGCAGTGGCGCGACCTCAGCTCACTGCAACCTCTGCCTCCCAGGTTCAAGCAATTCTCCTGCCTCAGCCTCCCAAGTAGCTGGGATTTCAGGTGCCCACCACCACACCAGGCAAATTTATTTTGTATTTTTAGTAGAGACGGGGTTTCACCATGTTGGCTAGGCTGGTCTCAAACTCCCGACCTCAGGAGATCCATCTGCCTTGGCCTCCCAAAGTGCTGGGATTATAGGCGTGAGCCACCTCACTGGCCAGGAATTAGACTAGATGCACTCTGACAATTTGGCCAGCTTTGGCATTGCCAGATATTCTAGAACAGTCCATTTTCTGCTGTTCAACAGAACTTTCTGCAGTGATGAAAATGTTCTGTATCAGTGCTGTTACATACAGCAACCACTAGCCACATGCAGCTAGGAAAGGTGGTCTGCTGTGATGAGTGAAGTGAATAGTTAATTGTATGTAAGTTTGATGGATTTAAATTAAAATAGTTGCATGTGACTGGTAGCCACATATAAGACACTGCAATTCTAGAACTATTATTAATAAGATAGCTTCTGGGCTCTGCAAGATATGTAAGGCCATTGTAGGTAATCAGTAATATCATTATAATAACCAACAAGGCATTGAGTAGCTTGCAGGGCTAAGTCCTCCCAACCTCCATCAGCCACTTAGCAAAGACACCAGAAATAAACAAAGTAATTTTATTTAAAAACAAAATAGTTTCCTATACAAACAAGCTTCAAAACTGTTTGTCCAGTAGCCCCGCATAAATGCACTGGGTCCCTAACCTCTTCCCATACAGACATTCTGCGGCAGCCACAGCCTCTTGCATCAGCTCGACATCGTTTAAAGTTTTTGTCTTGCCACATCCATTATCTCTTTGATCCTCAAAACAGCTCTCTGAAGGAAGTCTCATTATTCCCATTTTATAGCCCAAAAATCTAAAATTCAAAAGATTTAAATGACTTCTACTGAACCAAAGAAAAGTCCTACTCCATGCAATGAGGCTTGAGGCAGTTGGCTGATCTTCCCACATTTGGAAATGATAGAAGTCTGGGTCTGTGACTTTTTTAAATAGATAGGTAAACTCTCTCAGTACCTTGCTGGCCTGCAAGTGTTATTGGATGCACAAGGCAGGGAGAAGAGCTGCAGGCATGGACAGAGAGCAGATGGTGCCTGGCCTGATGGGAGGTGGGCACATCACACAGAGCATTAGGGGCCATGTGTAAGGCTCGGTTCAAATTCAATGCTCTGTGTGATGTCCAGCACATCTCTCTACCTCTCAGGGCCTTGGTCACCTTCTCTGGATAATAAAGGTGGGATATGCCAGATAATCTCTAAGGCCTCAGACAGCTTAGGACTTAAGGAATTCATGGAGCATTGCTTGCTCTGAGTCTAGCACCATGCATGAGATACAGGGAAGAAGGAGGCAGGGCTGCCTTCCCTCAGGAAGCTCTGCCAACTGGTCATTGCCATTTGCAGAGTCATCTGACCTGCGGAGGTGTGAGTAGAGGGGACAGAATGAGACTTAGGAGTCAGCCAGATCTTGGTTCACCACCCTGCCCTGCCTCTTCAAGCTATACAGGATTGGGCAGATCGCATAACCTCTGAAAACCTCAGTTCTGTCAACTACAAAGAAGGATCACCACGGCCCCTCTCCAAGGTTGCATTGAGGACCACATGAGCCAACACATGCCGAGTGGTTCCTATCAGCGCTGCATGTACCATGAATGTCACTTCCTTTCCTTTTGCCTTATCCACCAACTAACAGAGAGAACACCTGCTGTCTGCCAGAAAACTCCTGTCATTGGTCTTGATTCACAGCAGGTCCCCCACCTACTCCACTCTCCAGCCCTGATCTATGCTTTCAAGCCCTGCTGGATCCCTAAAACATGCATATCAGGCCTGCCTGGTGAGTCAGGAGACAGAGACAAGAAAAGAGAAGCAGGTTAGGATGACAAGGAATGAAGTCTCCCTCCCCAGGACAAGATGTTTAGCCAACTTTTCCCCCCGTCTTGGCCGAGACAGGCTGGAAAGTTGCTCTCCTGAGGGCTCCCACCCAAAGATCCCACTCATACATCAGCCTTCAAGCAGGAACAGCTCCCACAGCTATAAGGAAGAGACATCTGTCCCTCCCCTTCCCACTGACACCCAGAATGAGTCTAATTAGATTGTCTCTGCTCTCAGCTGCCACTATGGTTGGTGCCATGGAAGTGCAGCAAGAGGGTGACGTGAGACACAGATGCCCAGAAATGTCAGGTATTTGCCAATCCCAGGGGTCAGGCACTTTGGCTGGGATGGAGAACCTGCAGTCAAACCACAGAGATCTGTAGAGGGTGGACAGTGAGTTGAGGCCCAGATAGGAACTGTTTTTCTGGAAGGAAGTGAATCGTTTTTCAAAATAGGCTCTGAGCCAAGCTAGCTTTTGAAATCTTATTCCCCAAATTTTGGATCTCTGATTAGAAATTATACCAGTCAGGGTCTTGGCAGCAAACAGAAACTCACTCATCTGGTATTTTTGAGGAGATTTTTAACGAAGGGACTATGATGGGTACACAGGGGTAGGCAGAATTCAGACAGCCCAGAGGGAATGTTGAGGAACCTAGGCACTAGCAACAGCAAGAAGCTGTGACCACTCCTAGGGCGAAAAGGAAAAAGGAAGAAAAAGTTGCTATCAGGGTCCAGTCGAGAGCTGGGTTCTTTACAAGGGGCCACCTACCAGAAGCTGTGGAAAGAGATACATCCATCCATCACCAAAACCGCAACAAAGCAGGGAGGACAGGGTGAACTCAGACCCCCAGCATCTCTCTCCTCCCAAACTCCAACTCCCCCAACTGGCCAAACCTGACTAGAAGTTAAATGGCAAGAGCCCTGCAGTGCAGTCCATAGAGGTCAGGCTCGTGGGGCACAGAGCAGGGCAGAGAAAGAACCAAGACAGATATGAGCAGATGAAGAGTATCCAGGTGAAAAAGGGAAAAGCTCTCGATTTTGTCTTGGAGTTCCTGACCTGGGATCAAATCTTCACTGTAGCACATATTAGCTAAGTGACACTACGCAAATTCCTTATCTTTTCTAAACATCAGTATCCTTATTTAGAAATGTCCTATTGTCAAATTCAGAAAATTAGAAATAATATTTATAAATAGAATTTATAGTTCCTTGCACAGAAGTGGTAAACAATGACCTGGAAGTGGCTAAAAAAAAAAAAAAATCACTGGCTTTGAGATCAGGTACTGGGTTTCCTATCCTGGTTCCTTCACTTTCTTGTGTGACTTTTGGCAAGCAGCTTGACCTATCTGAACCCAAGTGTGTCACCTGCCAAATAGGTATAAGAACATCTGCTTTCACAGAGTGACATGAATTTAAAAATATATATGAGTAGTTTAGTTGCCCAGGCACAGTGGCTCATGCCTGTAATACCAACACTTTGAGAGGCTGAGGCAGGCAGATTACTTGAGGCCAGCAGTTCGAGACCAGCCTAGCCAACATGGCAAAACCCTGTCTCTACTAAAACACACACAAAAAAATAGCTGGTTGTGGTGGCGTATGCCTGTATTCCCAGCTACTCATGGGGCTGAGGCACAAGAATCACTTGAACTCAGGAGGAGGAGGTTGCAGTGAGCGAAGATTGCACCACTGCATTCCAGCCTAGGCAACAGAGCAAGACTCTGTCTCCAAAAAACAACAACAACAACAACAAAAGGAGTTTAGCACAATGCCTAGCACAGACAGTTCCAATAAATACTTATTGTCTTCTTCTTGTTGATAAAGATTGAGTAGAAAGTATGTCTCAGGTGTGCCTGGAGGCATAAGATTTTCTCATCTTGACTTTGTTTCCCCTATCAGAGGCTGGTGAACTTGAATTTCAATGGTTCTTCACTCACCAGAGCCTCTTCTAGGATTGGTATTCTCTTCAAGCCGAGACCCATAGACCCAGGGTCAGCCAGACCAACAATCTTCCTATAAATTTGGTACCCACCCTCCATAATCTGGCTGTTCCCCCACCCCAAGAGGAGAGCAGCACTTGGATTATGGATCATGGAAGAAGGCTCAGCTGGACAAAAGAAATTTTGGCCCCTCCATGTCCCATGTCATGATTTCCTCAAAGCACAGTGAATCTAGAGACACAGCCCTGAAGACCTGGGCTTTGAAAGTCCTTTGCCAATTGAAGGAATGGGTGTGCTCTGACTCAGGCTCACATCTCGACTGTGAGAAGCTTGAGGACTGAGATGACCTAACCCACCTTGCTGCTCCTGCATCTGACACAGGGCCTTGATGATAGACCTGAGCACCCACAATATGCCAGGCCCTGGGCTATACCAGGTGTACTTCACTGAACAAAGCAGACATAATTTAATGTCCTCATGCAGCTTATAGACTGGCTGAGGAGTCAGAAATTTTACAAGTAATTACAAATATTATCATTGTGATTGAAGTTAATGTAGGAGATCCTAGGAGATCCACTGCCAGTTAGAATGCACAAGGACCAATGTTCCTATCAATAACAGAATAAAACACTAGATAAACTCAATATTGTATTTCTCTTTAAAGTCACACAAGAGTGGTGGATGCAAAAAAGTTTAAATGAACCAAATGCCAGAGAGGAATGAGCCCTTCATCAGTGAGGAAAGAGCAACTGCTACTCTCATACCTGGGCCAATTGCCAGGTCTGGATATGTGTGGGTTGAGAAGAAGGCCTGCCATAGGCAGAGGAGCTTTGCTGGAACAAGGATAAACCAACCGAGCTTTTAGTGACAATGTGGGCTGGTGTGACAGATTGGAATCTCAAAGAGTCCAAGTGCAATAATAAATCTTTTGGCACAACAGTTCTCCCCCACAGGAATTGTGCTGAGCCAGCAGCTGTGGGGGAGGAGCTGGAAAGCAGAGATAGATCTTGCAGTCTTGTGCAGTGCTTAGGCTAAATCTGGAGATAAACTGAAATGTACTAAAGCTGCAAATCAACCTCCTCCTAGCCCAAATTCTGATAAGATCAATGGATAAGCCCCTCACCAGTGGCTGCATAGGAAGTTGGACACTGGAATAATGGAAGATGAAAGATATCTGTTATTTCATTTGAAATAAGGCGTAAACTAAAACTAAACAAGGTTTCAACTCAGCCCAGTTCAGCTTGATCATGGTGGGATCTGAATGATCAGCCTCTCACCCTAGCTTCCTGATAGGGAAAAGAGTGGGCGCTCTCTGGAGAAAACAAAATAAAATGTATCATCTCATTCAGTCTCTACTGTTCTTTTAATCAAAATGTCCAACACATAATTGAAAATTATGAGACATGCAAAGAAGCAGGAAAATGTGACCCATAATCAAGAGAAAATATAGTCAATAAAGATAGACCCACAGATGATTTAGACTTGGGAATGAGCAAACAAGAACTTTAAAATGATTATTATACACATATTAAAGAACTTTAGAAGAAAATTTGTGCAGATTAGTGGTCAGAGGGGGAATTTTAGAAGATAAATGAAACACTTATAAAAAGAACTAAGTGGAAACTCTAGAACTTAAAATTACAATATCTGAAATGAAGAAGTCAATGAATGGACTTAACAGCAAAGCAAACTTAGCAGAAGAAAAAATTAGCAACTCAAAAAGCAATCAATGTAAAACCCTCAAACTGAAACACAGAGAAAATAAGGTATAAATGGAAAGAGTATGTTCTAATATACTATCTATTGACCTAACATATGTAATTGAAAAGGTAAAATGGAATTACTACGGGAGCATGTAACCCATCAGCATGTTCCCATTTTAGATCATTAATTGTGCTGCTCCTTTTGCCTGGAACACAGATAGCCACATAGATAATTCCTTCATATCCTTCAAAATTTTGCTCAAATGTTTTCATCTCAGTGGAGTCTTTCCTGACCACTCTATACAAAATCCGCATTCACCTACATTTCCACTTATAGCTGGGATTTCTCCACATATTTGTTTTATTTTTTCCTGAACTCTTGTCACCATTCATAAACATGTATTTTATTTACATTGGTTGTTTCTTCTTTCTTCCACCTTAATATATGTTCCCTGAGAAGTTTTTACCTGTTTTGTTGACTCTCCAGCACCTAGAACCTAGTAGGTGCTCAATAAAAGTTACTAATCAAATAACAATGAGATTTAAACCTTCTCATATATAAAATAGGCATGAAGAAAGAACTTTAGGCTTTAACTGGAGAGACAAGTGTTTCAAGGCAGGTCCTTTTTAAATGCAAGTGGCAGAAATCTAACTAAAAATGACTAAAGTAAAAAAGAAAAGATATTGGTTCATACAATTGAAAAATGCAGGGTTTCCGGCTTTAGACATGACTAGATCTAGACACTAAAATGAAATAACAAAAAAAAAATGGCCTTTGTCTCTGGGTTCTATTTTCCCTTGTGTGAGCTTTATTCTCAAGCAGGCTTTCTCAAGGGCAGTTGAGTGGTAAAGAAGACCCCACAGGCTCCAGCTTTGCATGCTTTGGATAAACCACTCCAGGGGAAGAAAGCTTCTTTCCCAACGGTGCCAGCAAGAACTTCAATGCTATGCTCATTGTCCAGACTTGAGTCACAATTTCTGCATAGATCCACTGTGACCAGGAACTGGGGTATTGTCACACTCCTACTAAACCACATGGTCTGAAAGTGGCAATTCGTCAAAGAAAAGTCAAGGTGCAATTTCCAGAAGAGGTAGGAAATACCAGGCAGGTAAAAACATGTGTCTATGTCCTTAAGAATCATCTGAAGTGTGGGGATTAGGACAAGCAAAAGTATATCAAGCAAAGACTTGTGGTAGGGGGAGCATGAAGAATTTTAGAAAAAAAATAATTTCTTTTTGGTTAGAAAGAGCAAGAAAAAAGTGGTGAGAAATGGGGAATTAAAGAGAAGACAAAATTTGGGGGCCTTGTCAAGAATGTTTAGAAGTTCGAATATAATACTAATAAATAGCAAAGGGAAGCCCTTGAGGTATTCAAAGCTGGAAATTTAAATGGTTAACTTTTGGTTTTGAAGAGATCCCATCAACTGTCCTATTTAGAATGGATCAGACAGAAATAAGACTGAAGTCGACCACCTGTTTGGTCGTCACAATTTTGTGATGTTTGGTGTCACAACTGTCTATAAGAGAAAGATGATGGAGACCTATGAAGGTAACAGTGGGGATGAACAAAGTAAAATTATTTGGGAGACAATTTGTAGAACACAATTAGAGAATGCTCTAAGAAGATTAGGGTTTATCGATAGCTCTCAAAGCCTTACCCAGAAGATCTCAAGCTCTCTGTCACTTCTGTGCTCTTCCTCCATAGGTTATAAGAAGTTCTAGTAGGAAGACAATGCTGTACCTGCTGCTTCCTTTCTCCTCTCCTTCCCTAACCTCATACAGGGCAGATCCAGACAAGCATTCCCAGAAGTAGGTCCCTGCTCTGAAACCTATACGTAGAGGAGAGGTTTAAAAATGTTTAGATAGCAAAGGTAAGTGAAGAGAGCCCATGATGGCACCACCAAAGGCAAGTATATTGCCCTAGAGTCAAACAGAGCCAGGTTTTATTCCTGCCTCTGCCACTTATTAGCTGTGTGCCCTTGAGCAAGTTACTTAACCTCTCTGAACCTTAGCTTCCCCATTTGAAAAATGAGTATATCACATTAGCTCACAGAGTGCTTATGAAATTTAAATGGCTTTGTGCATCTGAAGGCTGGGAACAGTGCCTGGCTCACAGACTGAGCTCAAAGGAGATTGGTTCCATTTTTCTCCCAATCTTTCTTCCTTAGATGCCTAAGGACGTATTCCCACCTATTTTCCTTTTCGACAGCAATCCTTCATCATGCCCCAGTTTTGTGATATAATTTTTAAAAATTAAATGCAAATAGTCAAGTCATCTAATTCATTACTTTCAGCTTCAATGACAATTACTAACTGTACCAAGCCTCTGGCAGGACACTGGCAGCTGTTGGGCAGCTTCAGAGTATTGATTAGGCTCTCCTGGGCCACAGGTTCATATGTTTAGGCTAATAAAAAGGAAATAGCACTTATCAAATAGAAGGTTATACATATCCCTTTAACCACTGGGACATTTGTGAGACCCCTAGACATTAGAAAGTTCCTAATGAGTTCCCAGCAACAAGCTGCTCCCCTTATCTCACCCCCTAACCCCCGCCTCAATTACACTCATACGCTATACACACCTGGTGCTAATCATCCCCACTAGAGCTGGTGATTAGAAAGTATGGAGGGAATAAGGAAAGGATATCTGAAAACCCATGAGTGTGGGTGAGACCTGTGACTTACTTTTAACCAATAGAATGTAGCTAAGGCAATGGGATATACATGATTACATATAAGTGATTACGTGACTATGTTACATTAAATTGTAGTGCCCCTCTTGGTGGAGTCTCTCACTCTGTTGCTGATTTTGAGAGAGCAAACAGCCATATTAGGGAATGCTTTGTAGCAAGTAACTACAGGCAGCTTCCAGTTGCTGAAGATAGCGTTCACTAACAACCTTCAAGAAACCGAAATCCCCAGTCCTATAGCTCAATGAACTGACTTCTACCAAGAACTGTGAGTTTGGAAGCAGTTATTTCCCCAATCAAGCATTCACATGAGAACCCAGCACTAGCCATTACCTTAATGATAACCTTGCAAAGTACCCACCTAAGCCATGTCCACACTTCAAACCCATAGAAATGGTGAGATAATAAATGCAAGTTGTTTTAAGCCACAAGATTATAATAATATTATTTCATAGCAGTGGATAACTGATATACATGGTAAATTCTAGAGGAATTAATTAATGAGGAAATGGAGAAAAATTTTAATCAGAAAAGGGGCAGACCAAGACAGTTTGATTCAACACACATGTATCTATCAAGGTTCTATGTAGGCAGAATACTAGCTGATTGATTGTGCTAAGGGCTGATGGAATGGTTTATTAATCAGGGTAGGCCACTGCTATAAGGAACAACCCCAAATCCTTCATGAGGATTCACATCAGAACCCAATGCCTGTCATAGTGAAATAAGAAGAGAACTTAGCTCTACTCCATGCAGTCATTCAGGAACCCAGCCTCCTGCCATCCTGTGGCTTCCCCATCCCCTAGCCTCAGAGTTTCCCACTGGAACCTCTGCATCCAGCTTGTAGACAGGGGGAGAAACAGAACATAGAGAACCATATGGGTGGTTTTTTAGTAAGGAGTAAAGCCAGAAAGTAGACAAGTCACTTCTGTCCTCATCAACTCAGGCACATGGTTTCTCCTGACTACAGGAAATGCTGAGAATTATAGCCTCACTCATGCCCAAAGAAAAAGGAAAGAGTCTGGTAAACCCATCCTAGTCTATGCTCTGGAAAAGGAATAATATTTTTTTTTGAGACTAAGTCTCACTCAATCTGTCACCCATGCTGGAGTGCAGTGGCACAATCTCAGCTCACAGCCCACTGCTACCTCTGCCACCCAAGTTCAAGTGATTCTCCTGCCTCAGCCTCCTGAGTAGCTGGGATTACAGGCTACCAAGAACTGTGAGTATGGAAGTAATTATTTCCCCAATCAAGCATCCAGATGAGAACCCAGCCCTAGCACCACCCAGCTAATTTTTATAGTTTTAGTAGAGACAGGGTTTCACCATTTTGACCAGGCTGGTCTCAAACTCCTGACCTCAAGTGATCTTCCCACCTTGGCCTCCCAAAGTGCTGGGATTACAGGCATGAGCCACTGCACCCAGCCAGGAATAGTAAATGTTCAAGAATAATTCAAGCACAACCTTGACCTTAAGTAATTCACAATGTACTAAGGAAAGCAGGCAAGTAGCAACAAACTATAATACATGACACAATATGAAATATTCTTAAGAGAGAGAGAAAAGTTGGAGAGAAGGACAGAGAGAAGAAACTTGATGTCATAGAAACTACGACCCAGGTTTCTTCACTTACATTCTCTGAGCTTATGTTTTCTCACATTTAAATTTGAGAAAATAACTGAATCTCTCAGTGCCTCAGTTTCCTCACCTACTAAATGAGAATAATAGTGCTTCTCTCAAAAGTTGGCTGTGGAGATGAGATAATCCATGCAGATAAAATGCTTAGCACAGTATCCAACACAAAGCAAGACTGCATAAATATTAGCTATTATTATTTATTATTATCATTATCATTATTATAAATTCAGGGGACCCAAAATGATTTGGAAGTGCTTCATAAAGTATAAAGAGTTTTTCTACATGTAGCGGATAGTTTTTATATTACCCCCAAGTGCTTCTGCTGCTCAGAATAACGGGAGATTGATTCTGGCCCTAGGAAATGTGGATAGGCTTCCAAGAGGAGGCAGCATTTAATCCAGACTTGGAAATGTCAGAACTGTCTTCATTCCACAGATGGGCTGCTGCCTGACAAGCTGGACAATTGGTTTGCCTCTTCATTCTGGAGAGTTACAGACTGAGAGGGGAAGAAATGAAATCCACGGAATTCAGGGCAGGCTGCAAGGTGACCATGAGCACATTCACCAGCTCCTGATTAGAGGCAGATGTCGCCACCACCCCCGTCTTTTCATGGCTTGGATGATTTAAAAAAGAAATTTAAAAAGAAGCACCAGGTGATGCAGCAGATAATAAACTTATGGAACTCATTTCCCCAGGAGGCTACTGAGGTGAAAATTTTAGATCATTTCCCAAAAAGCTTAGTTAAATTCATGAGTGATTGATTCCTAATGGATTATCAAAGCCTGTTAGGAAGGAAATCCTTAAACTTTAAGGTTGAAGTCTTGGAAAACAGGTGTGCTCTCTGATGAAACTTCTCTCTGCACCTCCGTCACAGACAAAATATTAGGCTGCATGTATCTCTCTGAGTTGACTCACTGTGACAATTCAGTTAGAGAGTCACTGCAAGGAAATGCCTGAAATAGCACTTGTGACCAGAGAGGGCCAGTACAGGGCACCTGCACCATCACTCTTCCTGACAGATTCGTGGCAGACATCACTAGTCCATCCCAGCACCATTTCCCACGGAGCCCCATGATAGCTCCAGTCTCTTTCCCAGCATAGAAACAACTTGGCCGTCCCTGATAGACCCCCACACCTTTACTCAGGATGAAATGAGGCCCAAGGAGTGGAAGTCGTTGGTCCAAGATGTTTGCTCCAGGGTTATCCCTTTAAAATCTCTAGACAGGCAGGCAGGCTAGTGTGGGAGGCAAATAAAATCTGGTGTCCAGTCTCATGTCCATGCCTCTATCTCTTGTGATTCAAAGATGTACAATCCTACAGGTCTTTCCCTCCTTTCATATTAATAAACCTGCTGTTCACTTTATATAACAGATGTCTGGACTTAGAGAATAATACACATGAGTCAGGAAGAAGAGGAGTAGAAAGAGGAAGAAGAGGGAGGAAGAGGTGAAAGAGAAGGAGAGAATCATGTTTGCACTGCATTTGACATTTATAAACACCTTTATATCAATCATTATTATATTTAATTCTATCTTCCCAGCTTCACAAAGAAAGAAAAACAAATGAGGCTCAAGGAGGCAAAGTGACTTGCCTAAGCTCTCACATCTCCTCCAAGGCAAAGCTAAAGTTCAAATCAGGCCTCTGTACTATGCTGAGCTCGTTTTTCACTCCCACGAATGAGGATTCATTTGGAAGTAAAGCTTTCCTCTAGGTGTCAAAAGCACCTGTCTTGCACATGGATTGAAAGGGCAAATCTCCTAGATCAAACCCTGTTTCCCAATAGCACGACCGATTCCTCTAGATCATGCTGTTTTGTCCCTGGCTCTCCTGCTGCCCAGAGAATGAAGACATATCTGTTGACACATTAGCAGAGAATGTCATAGTGTGACAGCTGTGGCTAGCATTTGGGTACCAGATGTCCACTATCTCCCAGGCCAGATCTCTGTCCCTCTCTAATGGGGATATCAGTGCTACTAGAAATAACATCATTAACAAACTACCTATTACTGACTCTCCGAACAAATATTTATTGAGTGTTTACTATGTTCTGGACCTGGGCCAGGCCCTGGGGGACAAAGGCAGGACAGTTCATGGAGCTTACATTAGAAGTAGAAGTAGTAGTAGTAGTAGTAGTAGTAGTAGAAGGGAGGATAAATAATGAACATGTTTATAAGTAAGTGAAGAAAATAACATCAGAAGTGATACATGTGATACAGAGTCACCGCAGGATTAAGTAGGGCATGCCTGCTTTGGACAAGCCTTTTTGAGGAGGTGACATTAAGCCGAGCCTTTAAGGATGAAGAGGAGTCATTCATGTAAAGAGAAGACAGAAGAGTATCCCAAACTGTTAAGTACAAAGGCTCAGAGGCCACAGAGCTTGCGTTCAAGGAGTAGAAGGCCAGCAGGAAGCTAAAGCAAGATGAGAAAACCAAAGCCCTGGGAGTTGGAGCAATTTGACTACGACCTCACAGGCATTTTTGATGATGTAAGTTAGACATCCCCAAATGGATTGCGATATTATAAACAGTTTCCCCAGGTCTTTGTCAGAAAGCCGCTCCCCTGCAGCTCGATATTCACCTCTTCTCCCTGCTCAGTCCCCTCTTGGCATTCTAATTTTCCCAGAGTAATTTCACAGTAATTCCCAGGCAATTGACTGCAGTGTCACCAGCCAGAGACGATGAACTGAGCTGAGGTGGGCTACAAGGAAGGAGAGGACATGCTCTCTGGACAAGAGAGTTCCTTTCTGCTCGCAAAGGACCTTCTCCAGCAGGAAGAACAGCAAAGGCAGGGGAAATAGCACATTAAATGACAGGATCAACTAGGCAGGTGGCTGGTTTGTTTTTCCAAGAGCATAAGCTAATCTCGAGAACTGGGTCTGGGGGCTGGGGGTGGGAGCAATCCTCTGGGTTCTCTTCATTCCACTTCTGCAAACTACTTCCTATGCAATTATTTTATCCCTTGCTCTGGGTTTATTTCTAACCTGTAGAAAAGCTCTTGTATACAGTAGGCACCTAATAACCATCAGCAGAATGAATGAACAGGTTATGCACGGTAAGACAAGGATGCAAAGGTGTATAAGCCTGTATTAGAGTTCTACAAAGAAACAGAACATATATAGAGAGACAGAGAGAGAGAGAGAGAGAGAGAGAGAGAGATTTAGTATGAGGAATTGGCTCACATGATTATGGAAGTTAAGTCCCATGAGCTGCCATGTGCAAGCTGGAGACCCAGGAAAGCCAGTGGTATAATTCCAGACCAAGTACAAAGGCTTGAGTACCATGGGAACCAGTGATGTAAATCCCAGTCCAAGGGCAGAAAAGGACCTATGTCTCAACTCAGAAGGCAGGAAGCAAAAGGGGTGAATTCCTCCTTCCCCTGCCTTTTTGTTCTATCCAGGTCCTCAGTGGTTGTATGATGCCCACCAACAAGGGAAGGGCAATCTATTTTACTGAGTTCACCAATTCAAATGCTAATCTCATCCAGAAACACCCTCACAAACACACCCAGAAATAATACTTAATCTGGGCACCCTTGATGGAATCAAGTTGACACATAAAATTAACCATCACAAAGCCCATTCATTCATTATTCGTTATCAATAAGCACTATATGCCTGCTATATGTATGGCACTGTGCCGGACATGAAATAGGCGAAGCTAAAAGATGGAAAAGGTATTCATTCATTGACTCATTCAATTATGCAACCTATGTTGGGTACATGGACTAATGTTCTACAGCATTTTGTAGTTACATGGCTTCATTTTATCATTGCCATTTAATAGCACAGTCCTTGGAGTCAATCCTGAGTTCAAATCAGGTCTGACCATCTGGACAACCTTGGGCAAGTTACTTAACCTCTCAGTTTCACTATCAGAAAAATGGGAATAATAATACATTTCTTCCTGTGTTATTATAAGTCTTCAAGCAATAACATGAAAGGGGCGTAGCAGAGATCTTCACACATGGTAAGTGCTCAATAAATGGTAGCTAGTCTCATTATTATAATGTATGTTATTTTTTGTCCTCCTGTCAATACTTTGAAGAAGGTATTTTTTCCTCATTTTACAGGGCTGAACGTCATAGAAAGTTACATGGCCAAATATCTCAAGGAACCAGAACTAAGCTGAAGCCTTTGCCATCCTTGGCAATGATATCTCCAAACTCAGGCCTTCTGATCCAAATAAAGCATTTGGGAGGTTTATTAGACACCATAGTACCAAGCTTCACAATTGAGGCTCACTTTATAGGTGGAGTCACTGAGGCCAGAAAGGTTGAGCAAATTGTCCAAGGTCAACAGTCTTGGTGGAGCTGGGAATCAAATCAAAGTTTTTTGGGTTTTGAGGTTCTTACTATGTGACAGACAAGATGCTCAACTCCAAAGATGTTCAATTAAATATGGCCCAGGCCCTACCCTTGAGAACACTCAATCTAGGGAGGCGTGGGCAATTAGAATGGAGATGTATCTTTCTGAGAAGAAAGATTCTTCAAGAATTTGACTGCAGTCTTCACATGTATGTGAAGCACTGTCCTTTGAAAGGCAAAGTAAAAGGTAGCATAACACATTGACTTTGGGTCAGGCAAACCCAGGTTCAATTTCCACCTCTTTCACTCAAGCCTTGTGACCTTGGGCAAGTCATTTAACTTGATGGGCATTTAACTTGCTGAGCAAACCTCAATTTGCTCATCTCTAAAATGGACATGATAACAACACTTACCTCCATAGGCTGCCCACAGCCCATCAGGAATGGGCTCCATCTTTAGTTCTGCCCCTTCCCCCAGGATTTAAGTCTAAGTATAGCAGAGACTCCAGGGATCTTGTTCATTGTATTATGTCTGGCACACAGCACAGGCACTATGTGGATGGAGGAGGGTGACCACAGAGAGGCATCCCAGGCAGAGGGGAAAGCATGAAAAAAATCATGAAGGTGTAAAACAAAGGGGTGTATTCAGAAAACTGGAAATAATGAGTAGGTATGGCTGCACCTATGAAGGAGTATGGCAGAGGGAGTGGGCAGGGATGTTGGCAATGAAGGGGAAGGTGGGAACCTGTGGGCTGTGATGCAGACCTGCACTTTACCCCCAGGTTCCTTACCTTGAGTTCTGTGTCGAGTCTGTTCATCCCTGTATTTCTCACGAGCGGGCTGGGCAGACACTGTGAATTGTCTACCCAAAGACTATTTATAACCAATTCCTCCTTGTCTTTCTCTATTTCAAAGGTTGAGAAGGGTAAAATAACCTATTTCCCACCTGCCTGGCGAGCCATACACAGCAGCTGTGGCCAGCGAGATGTAGCAGAAGGCCCAGGGAATGTTTTTCTTTCTAGAAAAAGTCGTGTGTGTGTGTGTGTGTGTGTGTGTTTGTGCTTTGTGTCCGTGTGTGCATGAATGTATGTATGTTGCCCTTTTCTCCTTGGTGCTGCTTGTCCCTTACCCCTTCTTTCCTACTGGAAGACTCCTAGGGATGCAACAGCCATGGTGCAAGTAACTATGAGGTGACAAGCATAAGAGTACAGGCCTACGTGGTAAGAAAGGCGATGAAGCACTTGGTCTATTTGACAAATAATCCTTTATGTGTTTAAGCCACTATGGAGGTGTTTTTCTATTACATGTAGCCAAAAGCAATCCTGGTTCATGCAAGGACTTCCTAGCCACCCTATCCGGGTAGCCCTACTTGGACAGATCTTTGCTGATTCCTCTTATCCTTGGACCAATCTTCTGTATGTTTCCAACTGGGCTCATCAAGATGCAACCCCTGCCCCCATAAGGTTTAGACTTGAAGTCCTTCCACATCATGATCCTGGTTTCGTGACCAAGACATTTATTTCCTTTCATTATCAAGGTGAGATGTAAGACAGAAATGACTTACCGACTGATGCGCGGCCTCTGTTTTGTGGCTTTGTCTCACGCTGTTTGGGCTCCCAGCTTCCTGACTGCTCTGTCTGCCACGCTGAAAACACTGCCACTCCCAGGATACCAGGCTTAGAAGAAGCCTTTCAGGGAATTGTGCTGGAGCAAGAGCAAATCTCAATATGTTTATCCTTATGTTTTTTCTTTTCTGCATTGCCTAGAGGATAATTAGGATTATGATAATCACTTTACTGTATGTTTTTTTTTAACTTCTACAATAAGCTCTTTGGAACCAAAGGGAAGAGCCCAGAGGGAAGATGGACATGGAGCTTATGCCGTAAGGACAGACCAGAAACAGAAGGCAGAGAGTCAGGCAGCCCTGTCACCAGGGAAACCAGAGGAGGGTTTGTGGTGTCAGCAAAAACTGACAAAGACTTGGAAATGAACAAAACCAAGCACTGGGCATCCTTTCCCTGGAGTTCTGTGTATTATCCCGTGGATCTCCAGGGATTACCTACTTTTACCAGGATGAGTACCTTTGGCCGACTTCAATCAGCTGGGTTATTTTACAGCTCTCTATGGTTAGAAGTTATAGAGAGCTCATAGTAATGCAAATGATTCTTGTCCATAGCAATGAAAATGAATTTTATTGGGAAAAATATAATCCCAATCATTACATTTTATTGCCCAAGAGCAGTGGATCTCAAAGTGTCACCTGGGTACATCAGATTGCCTGAGACACTTTCGAGGAGCCTGTTAAGTGAAACTATTTTCATAATAATAGTAAGGCACTATTTGCCTTTTTCACTCTCATTTTCTCATGAGTGTACGGCGACGTCTTCCAGAGACTACATGACTTGTGATACTTTTAGTATTGCTCTGACAGCAAATGGAATTTGCACTTGTGTATTCTTGTGTTTTAAAAATGTCTCAGTTTTAACTTCTAAAACAGCAAATATTGGGCGGGCATGGTGGCTCATGCCTGTAATCCCAGAACTTTGGGAGGCCGAGGCAGGTAGATCACTTGAGGCCAGGAGTTCGAGACCAGCCTGGCCAACATGGCAAAACCCTGTCTCTACTAAAAATGCAAAAAAAAAAAAAAATAGCCAGTCATGGTGGCACATGCCTGTAATCCCAGTTACTCAGGAGGCTGAGGCATAAGAATTGCTTGAACCCAGGAGGTGAAGGTTGCAGTGAGCCGAGATCGCACCATGGTACTCAAGCCTGGGTGACATAGACTCTGTCTCAAAATAAATAAATAATTTTAAAAACAGCAAATATTGATAGATATAACGCAAATAAACAAAAGCTCTTTGAGAAATCCTCAATAATTTCCAAGACTGTAACAATAAGCCAAAACCAAAAAGTTTGAGAACTGCAGCCCTGTAGAATATGAACTAATTTAACTAATTTTGCATCTATCAGCAAATTTATTTCCGCATCCCTGATTGGTGTGTGTGTGTGCAAGTAGGTGTGTGTGTGCATGTGTGTGTGTTCTCCTTGAAACTGTTTTAATATCTTACTGATCCTTTATTAACTGAGTTAAATAAAATCTTATTTATTTTATATCTGAACGTCATGTTTTCAACTTTTTGAAAAATGATGCTCAAATGCTAGGCTTGGAGTAGAAGAAGGAGATGTGAGTTGTGGCCAAGAAGAAGACCAAAGAACCAAGACCACGTGGAGGGCACCCAGGCAGCCTGGGATGGGTCTCATATGCTCTTTGTGCCCAGCAGCACGGAGCCACGTAGGAGTCCAGTCAATACCCCAGACTATGCCTCATGGTTCAAGCAAGGACAGCACTTGAATGAAGTCCTGCCTAGCAGCCCAGGTCCCCCATGGACTATCCAGCAGGAGGACAACAGCCACACCCAGAGGCTTTGCTAAGCCTATCCAGATTTTCTGACATGGAAATCCCACTTTTCAATGGCCCTGTGTTTTAGTAAGCCCCTTCAAAACAAAAGACAAAGCTCTTGACACCCAGAGCAGGTGTAGAAGGGAAAGTCTTGCTCCCAGTCCTAGAGTAAAACTGGGCAATATCACACCATCCAACTACATGGCCCAATCCCCAGAAAAGGCAAGAGACCTGCCCAAAATAGCACAGACTCTTGGAGGAGGAGACAGGAGCAAAATGCAGGCACCTGTCTCCCAGCCCAGGGCTCTTGCTCCTGCTTTCTACTGTCTCATTATGCCGACAAATCTACTAACACGTGCACTCAATTTTCCTAGGAGTCAATACCTTTGTCAAGGCCACCAGAGCTCCCAAGAGGAGACAGGATGTGGATTTTGTAAGCTCCATCACTGGCTCTTCTCTCTTTGAGCAGTCCTTATCCTCACTGAGCCTCAGTTTCCTCACTTGATTGTGAAGATGGTAAGAGGAATAAAACAAACTAGCCAGGCGTTGAACCCACAGGAGTTGCTGAGCAAACATTTGCTGACTCAGAATCCTTTTCTCTTTAAATTAATTCCTGCCTATTGCTCTCCAGCCTGAATCCAAGTGCTGGCCAATGGAAAGGTACCAGCAGTGCAAGGAGAGCGGGTGGGAGCCAGGAAGATAAAGAAGGAGCGGCCGGGCTGGATGGAAATCACTCCTGGTCAAATGGAGTCATGTGGTATGGAAAACTTTTAAAGGAATCCCTTAAAATGTGTGTTTGTGTGTGTGTGTGTGTGTGTGTGTGTATGTGAGAGAGAGAGAGAGAATGTGTGACACCCCCTTAGTGTAGCAGATATAATATTATAAATGTGTGAGTATTCCTGTAGTCCTCTCCCCTCAGATGCTAAAAGGGGGGGATTCTTGCCTGCAATCTCAGCCTACATCGCTCCTTTGCTGGGGAGAATTTAGGATAATGGGTGAGACAGAGAGAATTTAAGGACCCCTGAGAGGCTACAATAATCTAGATAAAGGGTTGGCAAACTATGGCCGTGGGCCAAATACAGCCCTTGACCTGAGCTAAGAATGGTATTTAGATTTTTACTTCTAATTTAATTTTATTTTATTTATTTATTTATTTTTTTTTGAGACACAGATTTGCTCTGTCGCCCAGGCTGGAGTGCAGTGCCGCAATCTCGGCTCACTGCAACCTCCACTTCCCAGGTTCAAGCAATTCTCCTGCCTCAGCCTCTCAAGTAGCTTGGATTACAGGCACCTGCCATCACGCCCAGCTAATTTTTGTATTTTTAGTAGAGACAGGGTTTCACCATGTTGGCCAGGCTGGTCTCGAACTCCTGACCTCAAGTGATCTGCCTGCCTCAGCCTCCCAAAGTGCTGGGATTACAGGTGTGAGCCACTGCACCCAGCAGGTATTTAGATTTTTCAATTGTTGAAACAAAATCAAAACAAAGTACTGTTTCATGGCATGAAAATTATATAAATTTCAAATTTCAGTGTACACAAATGAAGTTTTAATGGAAGACGGCCACGTTCGCTAATTTAAATATTGTCTGTGGCTGCTTTGAGGCTACAGTGGCAGAGGTGAGTAGTTGCTACAGAGACCATGTGGCCTGCAAAACCTAAAATGTTTACTCACTGGTCCTTTAAGGAAGAAGTTTGCCAACCTGATCTACACAATAAGCCGAGAGAGAGGAAACAGAATGCAGGCAGAGCGTCAGGAAGAATGTGAAGGAGGGAGGTGGGAGTTAAGGGGAGGCAAAGATATCTGGGGGTGAGTGAAGAAGCCACCATCTCCATGAAAATACTGAGAGAGAGAAGCAGCATTAGAGAAAAAGAGAGAGGATCTCCAGGATGTTTCTATATTTTAAGAATACACCAGCCAGACACAGTGGCTCACACCTGTAATCCCAGCACTTTGGGAGGCTGAGGCAGGCACATCACTTGAGTCCAGGAGTTTGAGTCTGGGCAACATGGCAAAACCCTGTCTCTAAAAAAATACAAAAAAAAAAAAAAATTAGCCAGGCATGGTGGCATGCGCCTGTATTCCCAGCTACTCAGGAGGCTGAGGAGGGAGGATGGCTGTAGTTTGAAAGGCAGAGGTTGCATTGAGCCCAGATCGTGCCATTGTACTCTAGGCTGGGTGACAGAGTGATCTTGTCTCAAAAAAAAAAAAAAAAAAAGTTGGTAAAGTTTTGTTGATATGGATAGAAACATCTGTCATAAAAATCAGAAAACATATATGAGAGTAATGTATGTCACCAAATTCAAGACAGTAATTCCCTCTGGGAGAAAAGGGAGATAAAGCTATATCTGTCATATATTGAGTCTTTCAAATTAAAATATTATATATTTTAAGAAAATAAGCTGTTAAGAAATGAAAGAAAAAAAGGTTAATTAGTGATACAGACGAAACAACAAGAAGTGATTTTTTTTTTTTTGTCATAGTCCCTGATGTCCAGGACTAGGGAAGTAAAAGTCCAAGTGAACTTCTTGGTCCTAGGCTCCTCTACACTATTTTTTGTTGTGGTTGTGGTAGTGGTGGTTGTTAGGCTATGTACTATATTTTGCAGCGAATCTAAGACATACATCTTTTTCACATTTTAACAACTCTGAAATAGGGCTGCATTTTACAATGGGTGGTACAAGATAACTAAATTGGCAGAGTTTTTTCCTTCCTTGGTGCTACAAAAAAATAATGATTTGGCTGGGCACGGTGGCTCATGCCCTGTAATCCCAGCACTTTGGGAGGCCAAGGCAGGTGAATCACGAGGTCAGGAGATTGAGACTATCCTGGCCAACATGGTGAAACCCCATCTCCACTAAAAATATAAAAATTAGCTTGGTGTGGTGGTGCACACCTGTAGTCCCAGCTACTCAGGAGGCTGAGGCAGGAGAATCGCTTGAACTTGGGAGGTGGATGTTGCAGTGAGCCGAGATTGGGCCACTGCACTCCAGCCTGGCGACAGAACGAGACTCCATCTCAAAAAAAAAAAAAAAAAAAAAAAAGTGATTCATTTTATAATCAGTAGTATATTAAATCTTCTTTCAAAGGGATAAATAAATAAAGATTCTGTTCTTCAGCATTCCATTGAGAGACCAGGTGAGAAATGAAGCACTGTTGGTTTCCTTTTGGAAAGGCGGGCTTTTTTGAGTGAGACACTGTATTGAGACAGGGCCACAGGCAGCCCCAGGATTTACCTGTTTAATTACCTTATGGGAGGAGGAGAAGAGGAGAGTTTGAGTCATATACTGTTGTTTCAGATTATCTCTTCCTAGAAAACAAAGAGAGTAAAAGTCATACTGAGTTGCTTTGATTTAGAAGATGTGATGAATCGGAGAAAGCTCTGTGCTGGTCAGCAGAACCCAACCTGGGAAAAATATCTGTCCTAATTCCTAAGTGTTATTAAACTTTGTCTCCCAGAGTAAAATAAAGTACAGAGTCAATAGTAATTAAGCCTTCTTTCCTCTGAGTGGGTCTTAGAAGTAAGGTATTCTATAAGAAACAAGTCCCTACTTCCTGATACAACCATCCCGTGGGAGAGAAAGCAGAGAAAGCAAACTGTGCTCTGTTGAATAGAACTGGGAGCAGAGGAGGGTGAGGGTTTGGGAAGGCTTGAGCTGTAGTCAGAGGTCATGGCTGCAGAAGGATACACAAAATCCATCCTGTTCAGATGAAACTCTGAGAATCAGCTCCTTCATCCTTGCTACCATGCAGGAGCCTTGGAGCCTTGGAGAACTTAAAAGAATGAGGCATGATCCTCAAGAAGCTATGAATATGACATCTGTCATCAGCCACACCCATCCCAAGAAGAACAAGGTTCAAACCCTGAAAGTCTTCTCTGATGCCAGAAATGAAATACTGAGGGGGCAGGCAGCCTCTGCAAGCCAGATAAGGAGGTGTCATTGCCTTTAAGTGTTGAATTCAGTAGACCCACATGGGTAATTTATGGATTCATTCATTCAGCACACATTTTTTGAGCACTTACTATATGCCAGGCACTGTTTTAGGTACCTGAGACACAGCCCTTTCTTAGCGGTTCTTACATTTCTCCAATTCAAACGCCATATAAATTACCTCCCTTAATTCTCTATTATTAGTAGTAAACAGTAGAGCTGGGATTTGAATCCACAGTATCAAGATTCAGAGTCTGTTCTTAACTACTATGCTATATCACCCCTCCAGATGGAAATTGAAATTAAAATACTGCATCTGAAAATTGTTATGCTCTCTTAGAAGTCATTCTAAAACAACCGATAAAACCCTGGGTTTTGGAATCATTGGGAATTAGAATTCCTTCCTCTCTGCTGGCCTCTGATCTCTGTAATGACAGAGACCATATCTGGCTTGAGACTGTTGTGTTCCAAAGCATCAAGCCTAGCACATACTAGGAACTCACTAAACATTTGTTGACTGACTGAATGAATGAGTTCATATACCAGTGGTAGGATCTTGGAAGAATGACCTAATCAATCTACCCTTAGTGTCTTAGTCCATTTCTGTTGCTATAACAAAATATATTAGACCGGGTAATTTATAAACAATAGAGGTTTTATTGCTCACATTTCTGGAGACTGAGAAGTCCAAGATCTAGGCACCAGCAGATTCACTGTCTGGTGAGGGCTAACTCTCTGCTTCAAAGATGGTGCCTTCTTGCTGCATCCTTACATGGTGAAAGGGGCTAAAAAGCTCTTTTATAAGGGCTCAGCGTTCATGACCTAATCATCTGCTAAAGGCCCCATCTCTTTTTTTTTTTTTTTTTTTTTGAGACAGAGTCTCGCTCTGTCGCCCAGGCTGGAGTGCAGTGGCGCAATCTCGGCTCACAGCAAGCTCCGCCTCCTGGGTTCACGCCATTCTCCTGCCTCAGCCTCCCGAGTAGCTGGGACTACAGGCACCCACCACCATGCCTGGTTAATGTTTTGTATTTTTAGTAGAGACGGGGTTTCACCATGTTAGCCAGGATGGTCTTGATCTCCTGACCTCGTGATCCGCCCGCCTCAGCCTCCCAAAGTGCTGGGATTACAGGCATGAGCCACCTCGCCCAGCCAAGGCCCCACCTCTTAATACCACTGCACTAGTGATTTTTAACATATGAACCTGGATGGCGGGACATCTATAAATATATTCAAACAATAGCAATCAGGTATTCTGCATGTATCAATATTTCCTTACAGAGCCACCGTATTAAGTGAAATTAGAAATTTCGAACACATAACACAATGCCTAACACACAGTAAGCACTCAATAAATAAGTCTGATACCACCTGGCATGTGTCACACACCTGATCCACAAGCAGATGTTTTAAGGAACACAGAGCTTGGCTTGGAAGACAAATAAGCACATAGCAGAGACAATTGTTGATTTGGGGGTTGGAAGGGCAGAAGAAATGAAGGGGATTAGAACTAACTCTCCTTGATAATAACAGTTTCCCATCCTTTCTGGGTGTGCCCCCATGACAGGCAGTGTTTGCAAGCAATAGCACCCACCTGCCCTGATAGAAATCTGCAGGATTCATCCTCAGCTTCTCAGCCCTAGCATCTTCAGGCGCCCAAATATATGATTCACACTCAGATAGTCTCTGTCTTTCTCTCTCTCTCTCTCTCTCTCTCTCTCTCTCTCTCTCTCTCTCTCTCTCTCTCTCTCTCTCTCTCTCCATTTCTTTTTTTTTTTCTCTCTCTCTCAAAGGGCTGACCAGGCATCAGAGTCAACACAGGGCCAGTATTGCAAGCCCTCCAGGCTGTTCTCACAGTTTAGTTGGTGCCATGGGTACCACCAATGCTGTGGGTCTAGCTACATCATGTTTATCTGATACCCCTCCCTAATATCTTTCCAACAATTCCCTTTGTGCTTGAGGCAACTGTTTTGAGTTGAACTATATCTCACCCCAAAATGTATATGTTGAAGTCCTAACCCTCAGTACCTCCAAATATGACCAACCCTGCCAACACTTTGGCCTTGGACTTCTAGCCTCCAGAACCATGAGAAAATTAACAGGTATTATTGAAGCCCTCCAGTCTGTGGTACTTTGTCATGGCAGCCCTATAAGCCAATACAGCATCCATGGTCAGTTTCCACTATCTGCAGTCCCTAAGTGATGCAGCTTATGACTTTTAAATTTGAGATGGGCGCAGACTGTGGTGATAAGCAGCATGGGATGGAAGTTAAAAGCCTGGACCTTGGAGTCCAGCTGCCTAGGGTCAGATGTTCACTCTGCCATTTCTACTGCAGGACCCTGGGTCAGACCTTTCATGTCTCTGTGAGCCTTGGGTTGCTCATCTCTAAAAAGGAGCTAATAGTTTCATTTTCCTCATGGGGGTGCTACAAATAGGATTAAAATATGAAAAATAGAACAGTGCATGGCACAAAGTAAGTGCTGCATAGGTATTATTTATTACATCTATTGTCCTCTTGGTGGAAAGACAAATGTGTAAGAGAATCAGAGAAGGCTTGTCTTAGAGGTGGGATTGGAGCTGGGCTCTACCCAGCCTTCTGTGGGATGTTCTTCTCTCTCAGGTTCTGCCCAAGTGAAGTTTTTCCCCCTTCATCTACCTCAGGACCATGGGGTGGGCGCTCTAGTTCATGAGCATCTATGATGAAGAGGCTACATCTACACAAAGATTACCCACCACGTTTTAAGCCATGGAACCATACAAAGAGGAGTTGGGAGAACCCTGCCTCCTCACCCCCTTCTCCTTGCCCAACAGTGGGTGGGGGTGGGGGTCTGAGGGTGCTGTGGAGGGCAGTGTGAAAACAGCCAGTTCTAATCCAAACCACCCATTTTACACCCGTGGAAACTGAAGCTCAGAGAAGAAAAGTGCTGCCCCCAAAGTCACGTAGCCAGCTCATGGCAGGGCTAAAAGCAGGAGCCAGGTCTTGACACTGGGAATAAAAAGCCATCATAAACCATTTATGACCCCCTTATGCCAAGAAGAGAAATGGTGTGAAGAGAGGAGGAAATAGAGTTTCCTACTGCCTGGAGCAGCCATGGGATGTCAGTCCTTAGAGGAAACTAAAATGCCGGAGAGATTTGGAAGCTGGGCTGGCAGGCCATGGCCCCTGCACTGACATTACCCCACCCTGACCCTAGACAGCCTGGCCCTTGGGCTGCCGGCCCCACACTATGCCCTGCGAGTCACTGACCCTCCTTTCCCTTGCCTCCCTTTCCAGCTGGGGGTCTTCCCTTACCTCTTCCTCCCTCTCATCTTGATTTGACATGTTGTGGCTTCGTAAAAGGAACATTGAACGAAATAGACAGAGCTGGATCCAGAGGGAAATTTAAACTCTTCAGCAGTGGGCACAGTACAGACCCTGACTAATCATATGTGCAGTGCTGTGTAAGCAACTTAGGTGTTCATTTCACTCTCACAACCACCCTATAAAGTAGACACCATTCATAGCCCGCTTTTACACATGAGGAAACGGAGGCACTAGAGCAAGTTGCTCACGTGAGGTTATCAGCTTCCAAGTGGCAGGATTAGAACCCTGCTCAAGGCCAAGCCTGTGCACCTGACCACATCTTTATATGGACCCCAGGTAAATGGAGGTGGCTAAAGTAACCCGTGAATGTGTAATGGTCACTTTTAAGCCTTTGTAGAGGTTGACTCCTTTCCCTACACAAACTCCATGTGTCCTCACTGTCCTTCCTGCCAACCCCAAGCATGCCAGGTGTAGCCCCACCTCTGTGATTTTCTCACATGGTCTCACTTGCCCAGAAGGGTCACACCTTGCTCCCTCTCAACCCAAGCCCTTCTGTCTGCAAAACAGCAAGAAATTCAGATGAGGTGGTACCAGATAGGGAGCACAGGCGTGGGGAAATGAGACCTTTATCCTCACTCATCAGCTGTGTGACCTTGAGTAAGTGCCTGCGTAAGTGCTGGAGCTCTCTCGGTCTCAGTTATCTCATTCATTAGGTCAGAAGCAACAGCAACTAACTCACAGGGTTGTAGTAAAGAGTTAACGAGGCTGGGCGGGGTGGCTCACGCCTGTAATCCCAGCACTTTGGGAGGCTGAGGCAGGTGGATCACGAGGTCAGGAGATCGAGACCATCCTGGCTAACATGGTGAAACCCCATCTCTACTAAAAATACAAAACATTAGCCAGGCGTGGTGGCAGGCGCCTGTAGTCCCAGCTACTCGGGAGGCTGAGGCGGGAGAATGGCATGAACCCAGGAGGCAGAGTTTGCAGTAAGCCGAGATCACACCACTGCACTCCAGCCTGGGTGACAGAGCAAGACTCCATCTCAAAAAAAAAAAAAGTTAATGAGAAGTCCGTGTGCTGAGTGCCTAGTACATGACAGCACACAGTAGGTGCTCAAGAAACTGGCTGCTGTGCAAGGGGCTCACGTATGAGCCAGGGGACTGGGGACACCACTCAGTGTCAACCTAAATAATTCCAGAAACATTTTGTGTCCCAGCCTAAACTGGGGACCCCACCCTGCTTATGAGTTCTCCAGCCTTTGGGGGTTCTGACCCCACAAAGGATGCAGCCACCCTGGGTTTCTCGGGGAAAGCCAAGGCCCTGGGAGGTAACTCCACCAGCTCTGTTAGCCTCCCCTGCTCAGCCCCCTGAATCTCCCATCCACACTTCATCATCATACAGCACAGCCTTCCCCAGACTCTGTGAATAAAAGGCCACCCTGGTCAATGGGGCTGACACAAGGGACTGAACGCCCTCCTCTCCA
The DNA here is from genome assembly GCF_000001405.40 of Homo sapiens. Lineage (NCBI taxonomy): Eukaryota > Metazoa > Chordata > Mammalia > Primates > Hominidae > Homo > Homo sapiens. Next base: position 35,008,270 of record NC_000022.11, read on the forward strand.
GTGACCCAGGATGGCCCCTGGTGCCCACTGACCTGTGGTTTCTAATGACAGCCCTACAGAAAGTAACTGAATCTCAACCCAATGGCCTTGGAGTCTTGTTAAGGATGGTTGCCCGCAGAGATGGCAATACCAAGAGAGTTTCAGTTCCCTGGTCTGACTCACTCCGCCTCCCCAAAAGCCCCATCAGTCAAAGGGAAGAGTGACCTTTCACTCTGGATGCAAAATAAATGTTGCCCCCTCGGTGTCTTTCAAGCATCTTTTCCTTCCCCTAGCCAGCCACACCCGGCCATCCATCCTGGCAGCCAAGCTCCCACCAACAGCACCCTGCCAGCTCCTTCCACAACCACCCAGGCAAAGTCTGCTCTGAACAGAGAGGGAAGCATTGGCAGATGGGCCAGGAGGGAAGCTGCAGCAAGGAGTGGGGGACTCTGGACTCGGCATCAGGATGCTCAGCCTGAGCCTAACAGCAGCTCAGGAAGAAGAGGGAACCCCAAGAATGTGGAACCCTCATTTATAACCACCACTTTATCTTATGGGTTGGAAAAACTGGGCTCCAAAGCAGGGAGTGACTTGGCCAAGGGCTGAAATAAAATTTCCTGGTAGAGCCCAGCCTGGCTTCTAAAGCCATGCCTTCTCCTGTGCAGAACCATCTTTGCCCATCAACCCTCAAACAAGCACACAGTAAGCACTGCCAGGCACCAGCCCATTGGCTACAGCCATGGGATTTACAAGACGTGTTCACATCCGAGATCTCCTGAGCCCCAACAGCAAATCTCAGCATCCTCTACAAAGCCAGGCACACGCACATTTCTCCCCAAAGCCTGGGGTCTGCACTACCCTTTGGGAAACATAAAGACAGGTCAACCCCTGCTTGGCACAGACAGTTGACCTCGCAGTGATGCTGCATAAAATGTCCAAGCTCAGCATCTCTGAAGCCACAAGCACTGAGTGAAACCTGACTGGATGAATGGGTGGGTGGATGAATGAATGAACAGAAGGAACCACTTCTTTTCCAATATATTGTCTGTGATTTTAAAAAGAGGGTGGGGAGTTTCCAAATATGAGGTGTTCGCTTCCTGGTGGAAAGAATACACAGGCCTCCCCAGAGGGTCTTTCCATTTGAGCTAAGCAAAAAGTCATGGGCCCATAGCAATGTCTGGAACCTCTAAACCATTTTATCAGCTTCTCAAAACCTGGTCACAGTGGGGAAACTGAGGCAAATTCATTTGGTGAAAAACCACAGGTTCTTGACCCAGACTGCCACATACTTTGTGTGGGACCTCGATCAAGTTACTTAACAGCATAATGGCTGAGCTTGACTGCTTTGCCAAGGAAAAGGAAAGAGATGGTGAGGCCCCAGGAGGAGACCCCCATGGAAAACTGGTTAAAAACACAGGGTCTGGAGCCAGACCATCAACCCAGGTGAAGTTATAACATCTCTGTGACTCAGTTTCCTCCCCAGTAATCGGGGATCCCATCCTTTCCTTGTTGGATGATGGTGGGAATGAGATGGGTGCCAGGAACACTGCCTGTCCCAGCAAGGACTCCCAGGGGCCTGGGATTCTCAAAGGGGTGCCACCTCCATTGGATGCCCCTTTCCTTGAGAAACCCCAAAGCCCTTTCAGAGGCTGTTCAGCTGTAACCTCACTCCAAGGGCAGTTTTCTGGATCTCAGTAGCCTTCCTCTTCAAGTTACTGTGATGTCAGAGACATGAAGAAAGTGCCCTCCGCAGACAGAGGGCACCAGGCAAGGAGAGCAATGTCATGGAATGAGACGACATCCACGAAGAATGCGGCCCCCTACCCAGGCGGCCCACTCGCCCGACAGAGCATTTTTCCTAACCAGCACGGTGGGCCTGCACCAGGACCAGGAAAGGAGAACATGAAACAAAATGGTCCATAATTAGAATGGCAATAAAAGCAGGGGGGAGGAGGAAGGCAGTGAACTCTATTAATAGTGCTAATAAATGTTCCAGGATAATACCGCTGTGTTCTGAACCTGCCCGTGGGAGGTGTTGCTTATACTCATTTGCATATTAATTTGGAAGGAAAATGCTGGGCTCTTTCTGCTGGGATAAATCAATTCCAGTGGAAGTTCTCAGATGGGAAGCAGCTAATTCTTCTTCCCTTTTCCTCCCAGCAGGAAGACACCCATTTGCTGCCAGGAAAATATTTTTAAGAGCCACCATGGTGTGAAAAAAACTAGGCCAGAAAACTATAGGCGAAGTGCAGACTTCGCAGATGGCTGGAGCCATGCCGCGATGAGCTTAGGTAAGGCCCAGCTTAGAGGAGACTCAGGAGCCAGGATGAACCAGAGAGAAACCTGGCTTCCCTTGAATAACACCATTGGAGCAAAGATGGCCACCTTGAATTCCAGTGTTTATTGATTGGTACTGGCTGGTAATGGAACGACAGAGTTGAGAAGGATTTTAAATCCAGGACCAGACTCAGAGGACAGAGTGCGGTGATCAATTGGTGATGTCTGCCACGGGAGACAGTATGGTAGGATGCAAGATGTCTGTCACGCTGCCCTGAGGAGAGTCACTGTTCATAACCTGAAACGGGGCATTATGGGCCATTCAAAGCAGGCAGGGTAGAAAATGGGAACAAAACTTCAGAGCAGCCAAGCAGAGCGATAGGCCAAAGAATGTAGAGAGACATAGCCCAAAGAATGCTGAGCATCTACTATGTTTTGGACACTTCAGATGTGGAGGATACGGAGATGACTAAGGCAATGCTTTAAGACATTAAAACTAATAAAGACAGGCATGTAAACAAGACTTATGCTGTAATGAGACATCACTCCTCTGCTTCTTCTAATTACTGGGCTGCCCCTTCCCGCATCCTCCACAAGCTGCTATTTCTCCACTTCTCTTGTTTATTAATACAACATAGAGATTCCTTCCTTGTATCTTTTAGCTCCTCTCCTCACTGTGCATACTCACAAGGGAATCTCTCACTCCTCAAGCTTGAACTTCCTCCTCTGCACCAACAGCTCTCAAAAGTTAGTCTCAAGCCACAGTTTTTCTTCCCAACACCTTTCTTGGATGCACTTTAGGCATCTCCATGATTACAATCCCCATTTTGAAGATGGGGAAACTAAGGCTCAGAGGGATTCCATAACTTCCCCAAGGCTAAACAGCTAGCAGGTGGTAAAGATTAGACCCAAGGTCTGTGTGACCAGGGCCTGCACCCCAACCCCCAGACCATTCTGCTGCCAGCCAATACTGCCCATAACAGCATCACAATTGACCCCAGGAAGAACCTCGCTTACAGGGCGAGATGCCTGAAGACAAACACAGGACATTTCTTCCTCTCACCTCTCTCAACCACAGCCTATGCTGCTTATGATGAGATGTGGGCTGTTACGGTTACTGGATGGGACACTAACCAGATATGCAGGAGGGCTGTGAAGGCAGGAGACGGTTGAGGTTCTGTGACTTTGAGTAAAGCCTGTTTCTTTCGAGCTGTACATTCTTATGACATGACACCGTTCACTCTCATATATCATGAGATTAGCAGTCACCAGACTTCTCCAGTAAACAAGATCCTAAAAGCAGAGTCCTGGGCCGGGTGCAGTGGCTCACGCCTGTAATCCCAGCACTCTGGGAGGCCGAGGCAGGCGGATCACGAGGTCAAGAGATGGAGACCACCCTGGCTAACACGGTGAAACCTCGTCTCTACTAAAAATACAAAAAATTAGCCAGGCGTGGTGGCGGGCGCCTGTAGTCCCAGCTACTTGGGAGGCTGAGGCAGGAGAATGGCGTGAACCCGGGAGGCGGAGCTTGCAGTGAGCTGAGATTGCACCACTGCACTCCAGCCTGGTTGACAGAGCGAGACTCTGTCTCAAAAAAAAAAAAAAAAAAGCGGAGTCCTAAGGAGATGACATCATCCTCACCTCCTTGCTGAGAAGCTGGAGCTCAGAGAGGTCACCATCTTTCTTTCCCAGAGCCCCAGCAGAGCAGAGACCAAGCCCAGAGAGCTCAGGCTTCCAGCCCCAGGAGTTTCCTTTCAATACCAGAATTCTTTCTCTAAAACAGGCCAAAACTAATTCTGAGTGGTGTTTATTAAGCATAGAAATTGAGGAAAAGAGATGTTAGCACGATGATCATGTATTTAAAACATGAATTTTTCAAAGGATCTATTTGTCAGGGAAAATCCTTGGTGCTCTGTATTCCATGTTGCTGCATAGAAAAGAGCTGTGAACACTGGGTGTCTGGGGTCATGGACCACTGCTACGTCCCAGGGCTCTAGTACTTGAAGAGTGGGCACTCCTGGCATCCCTTCCACACAGAAAGGAGAGACTGTTCAACATCACCCCTCAAAGAGGTCTTCTCTCTGACCACCCTCCAAGTCCACAAGAGCAGCTTCATCCTCCTGGGTGCCCACCTGCTCGTTCCTCAGAGCGCTCCCTAGTTGCAGGGAAAGGGAGTGTGGCATCAGGGCCAAAAGCAGGGGTTCCAGGACCAGACTGCCTATGTTCCAACCCCAGCTATTTTCTACTGGCTGGGTGGCTGCAGGCTACTCACCTCCCTGTGTCTCAATACCCTCACCCCTAACATGAAGAAAATAGCAGCATCTGCCCCATGGGGTTATCATGAGGATTACAGGAGTCGAAAGATGTGAAGACTGACCGGCTGTGGTGGCTCATGCCTATAATCCCAGCATTTTGGGAGGCCGAGGCGTGTGGATCACTTGAAGTCAGGAGTTCGAGACCAGCCTGGCCAACATGGTGAAACCCCCTCTCTACTAAAAATACGAAACTTAGCTGGGTGTGGTGGCACATGCCTGTAGTCCCAGATACTCGAGAGGCTGAGGCACGAGAATCACTGGAACCCACGTGGTGGAGGTTGCAGTGAGCTGAGATCACACCACTGCACTCCAGCCTGGGTGACAGAGGGAGACTTTGTTTAAAAAAAAAAAAAAAAAAAAAAAAAAGATGTAAAGATTTAGAATGGTGCCCAGCACACAGCGAGAGTTTGCCCTCATTAGATTCTTTTTTTTTTTTTGCTGCTTTCTGTCTTCCCCTCTAGCAAGGAAACTCCGCCATAGCAGAGATTTTGTTTTGTCTGCCACTGAATCCTCAACATCTAGAATAGTTGCTGGCACTAACCATGGGTCTATTTGCAGAATAGTTGTTTAACACAAGCTCTGCCAGGCACAAGACAAGGTCAAGGTAAAATAACTCAGAAGGCACAGAGTGGAGGTGTCTATAAGGAGGAAATGTGAACAGATTGTCAAAATGTGGAGTGCAGAGATCAGTGATCCAAAGAAGGGAGGCTTTGCGGTCAAAGCTGGGTCTGAGCCCTTGCAGTGCCATCGTCTGGAGGTAGGCCATTGTCTGGAGGTGGAGGAGCAGCTGCACCTCTTGGAGCCTGTCTCTTCGCCTATGAAATAGGTGTTCTCCTCCTGCATGTGGGTTAGAGTGAGGTGGAAGCAATCACATCCATGTCATGTGTGCAGGAGTTCAGTAAATGTCAAGCTCTTTTCCCTGAGCTCCGGCTTCTGCGGAGCCTTCTCCCACCATGAGCTCCCCATGCCCGAGCCCTACTGACTGGGAGATGGTTGCCTCCATTAACAAGACCTCCTCTTCCCAGCCAGAACTCATCTCTGCTTCCCAATAAGAGAGACATGCTGTTTCAGTTACACTCCTAGCTGGAGGTGGGAGGGGGTTAAGCTCCTGTTTTTGTTTTTACAATGCAAAATTTGTCAACTTGGTGCAGTTGACAGACTGTCTCTGTGTCACCGCGCTGGTTTCTTTAATTGCTTTCTCTGCATGCGAGCATCTGTATGTGTGTGTCTCTGTGTTCCCTGAGAAAGGCGTGCTTGCTTCAGCAGAAAAGGCGCTGATTCCAGAAGACGGGCCTGTCCCTTAGTACATCTGGCTGGGACCTCTGAGACACAATATGGGGTGGATGAAGGGACCTTTCTGGGAGTCAGGAAACTGGGATTCTGGTCCACATTCTTCCCCTAAAATAATAGTAATCATTGCATCAAAGTCAATAATAATAGTGTGACATATGCTAAAAGAGGACTCTTTCTAGCTCAGTTTCCATTTCAGGTCCCAGGACATTCCATATTCAAGGTGAGTCCTCATCCCCACTCCAGGATGTATGAAGGTTGCCACGGGATCCCTGTTCTCCCATCCTTGGGCGACCACACCTCTGATCCAGTAAAAGTTGCAGCAGCTTCAGGAGCGTTTGGATACGGAGGGACTTTTATTTGGAGAGCCAAACCTTGTCCAAGATGGTGGAATAGAGGTAAGCATACTTCCCTCTCACCTCAAGCCCAGTGAGATGGTCTTCAAGGAGGCCATTGGGGACCTTCCCTGGGTCTGAGTGGTTTTCACACCATGGTCTGCCATGCAACACACACCTAAAGAATCTAGGGGTGAGAGGCTGTGGCTACCAGCCTGAAGCAGTGAGCAGGGGCAGGGAGGCACGACATGTCAAGATTGAGCTACCTGTCCCCCAGAATGTGGACAAAGCTGGGCCAGATGCGGGCCACAAGGAGGAGCCAGTCTGGCACCTACCCGAGTGGACTGAGGCAAGATGATCTCAAAAGCAGAACTGACTGACCGTCAGGTTCCAGGTGCAGCGGGAGAAAATTTAAGTGCACATTTGGTCATCTTGTGACCCCGAGGGGAGCCGATACAAGCTAAAAGTGGAAGAGCATTGAGACTGAAAAAACCTGAGTCCCCAGTGACGTCACTGAGCCACTGAATGAGCCAACCTTGGCCCCTCCAACCTCAGGACTTCCCAGCATGTCCTCGTTATCTAAGCCATCTGAACTTTCTGGTTCTTGAATCCAAGCTGATACGAGCAATTTGCCCTAAAGTCTGTAATTAGCAAGTGGAAAAGTTGAAACTGGATGATAGGCCTGGGGGCCTCTGAGTCCAGTGCTTGTCATGGGTCACTGCGCTGAGATGTTCAGATGTTCGTGGGAAAAGTGCTGTGGATGCTCACATCACAGACACGTGAGCCCAAGTCACAGCTGAGACATGGGTAGCATGCAAAACTGAGGAAACAAGATGGTAAAAAGCGTTAAGAGAGCAAAAGTGGAAGCTGTAAGCACCCATCAGGATACAGCAAGGACTCCATACAAGTGTATTCTGAGAAACTGTCATAGACCAGAGGAGACAGGGGTGGGGGAAGACATGACATCTAAATGCCAGGTGGTGACGTGGATTGGATCCTGGAAGAGAAAAAGGATGCTGGCTTCCGAGTACTGCTGAACTGTGGGTGGGTGGCTGCAGGACTCTCAGGTGACCCTCTTGGTGTTTGAGTAAAGTGCCCCAAGGTGGAAAAAAAAAAAAAAAAAAGCCAGGTGTGGTGACTCACGCCTGTAATCCCAGCACTTTGGGAGGCCAAAGCGGGTGGATCACGAGGTCAGGATTTTGAGACCAGCCTGGCCAGGATGGTGAAACCCCATCTCTACTAAAAATATAAAAAAAAAAAAAATTATTTAAGCCATCTGAGCTTTCCGGTTCTTGAAAACTGATGAACTCCAAATAAAGTCTACAGTTCGGTTAATAGTAATGTACTAATCTCAGCTTCTTAGTTTTGACAAATGTACCATAGTAATGTAAAGATGTTAACAATGGGGAAAACGGGGTGGGCTCCTTCGACCCAACCACCTACCTGGCATTAGGGTTAGAGCTGGGTCAGAGCCTGGGAGGCCTCCTGCCTTCTCTTCATGACCATTCCAGGATCCAGCCACTCAACTTCATGGTCTATGTTTAGAAAATCCTAAAAGCAAACAGCTATAGCCTCTCCATCCCCCTGAAATCAGCATCATAAATCTCAATTCTAAAAGTTAATAACATTTGTCTTTGCATTTATGGCATTACTATTATAGAGCAGTCTGCCCAGGCTCAAGGTGGCTATAGGAAATGGTTTCGTTTGATGAACTGCCTCAGCCTGTCCCCACCAAGTTGTGATCTGGCTTCTTCTAATGGAGGGATAGCAGAAGCTGTAGGAGGGATAGGCTGGCTACGATGATTCAGAATGGCTTGAGGGTTCCCAATTAACAGTGTTAAAGTAGGGTGGGCAGCTTTTTCTGCAGATCATAATTCCTGAGGGTGCTCATCACTCCAGTGTTTAGGGACATACCTGCCTTGGTCGCAAGAATTCTAACAGAAGAACCCAAAGGAAATGGGAAAGCTAGAGTAGAAAAGTGAAACTGGCTCATCCTCTCCCCTCTACCTGCTCCTCCACTAGACCTACCAACCCAAACATGAAAATCCCATCCATCCTTCAGAGTCCACGTCAGATCCCACCTCTCTCTCTCTCTCTCTCCACCCCCACCCCCCACACACACAGTGGTAGTCAATCTCTCACTCCCCTAAGATCCTGTCAAAGCTTGCACCTGTGCCTCTATCATAGCACTTGTCAGAGTCAACCTGGATGGATGGAGGGATGCACTCATTCATTCATTCATTCACTCAGTGAATATTTATTGAGCACATACTATGGGCTACATTCTGAGGATATCATATATAATATCAACCGAAACAGACAGCAGCCATGGAGCCATGGCCTCATGGAGCCAGCAGTCTAATTGCTCATATGAGTCTATCTCCCCCATTAACTGTGGTGTCTGGAGTCAGGGACCTCTATCTCCTTCATCCCAGACCCCCAGTGCTCAGCACAGTGAGGAGCACAAGACATGCTTTCTGAATGCACAATCAAATGGATTAATCAACCAACATTAAGAACCCGCCTATCTCTTTCTTAAGACGCTCAAGTGTCCCCAGTTGTCTGCATCAGAGTCAGAAAACTGCAGCCCACGGGCCAAACTCAAACATTACCTGTTTTTCTAAATAAAGTTTTATTAGAACACAGCCACACTGATTTGCTCACACACTGTCAATGGCTACTTTCATGTTACCATAGCAGCAGTAAGTGTTTGAGACAGAGACTGTATGATTCACAAAGCCAAAAATATTGACTCCCTGTTCCTTTACAAAAAAAGGCTTGCTAACCTCGGATCTACGGAATAAAGCCCAAGCTTAGAGTAGCATCAGGGCCCACGAACACATCTCTCCATTCTAGTCTGCGTTCTGCATATGCCTAACTGCCCACAGCTCCCTGATAGGCCCAGCCTACTAGTGCCTTTAGGATTTTTTTGCCTGCTTGGAATAGTCTTATCCCCAAACCTTTCCACCCAGCTAACTTCAAAACTACACACAGAGTCAGCTCAAGCATCTCCTTCAGGTTGTCTACCTCCTCTTCCTCCCTTTCCCCACCTCCTGACCAATTCGGGCATTCCCCCAGGCTCCCACCACATCCAAATTCTTCTCTATTGTGGCTCCTATCACCAGTACTGAAATTGTCTCTCTCCTGGTTTTTCTCCCCAACTAGTTCGAGTTTCTTGCAAACAAGGACTTGTCTTGGATGGAGGTTGTCCTGGTGATGTCTTGTTTTTCAGTTTTGTTTTGTTTTTGAGACAGAGTCTGGCTCTGTCGCCCTGGCTAGAGTGCAATGGCGCAATCTCAGCTCACTACAACCTCTGCCTCCCAGGTTCACGCGATTCTCCTGCCTCAGCCTCCGGAGTAGCTGGGATTACAGGCACGTGCCACCATCCCCGGCTAATTTTTTGTATTTTTAGTAGAGATGGGGTTTCTCCATGTTGGCCAGGCTGCTCTTGAACTCCTGACCTCGTGATCTGCCCGCCTCAGCTCCCAAAGTGCTGGGATTACAGGCGTGAGCCACCGCACCCGGCCGATGTCTTATTTATTGCTCTCTTCCCCAGGACTTTACGCAGGGCAAGTTCTCAGTGAGCAATGTGAACAGAACTATGTGCCTCTCCATCACTTTCCTTAGTTCTAAATGCTCCCCACTCCCAGTGCCCAGCCTCCCACTAGCTCAGAGAGAACAGGAGCATAGAAATTGAGTCCAAGGGGAAAATTCCAGTTATATAAACCAGGGATGATCCAGGGTTTGGTACCCGTGAGTGGGAGTTGATGGTGACGGGAGGTTGAGTGTTATTATAACACAAAAGAGGGCAGAAGTGGCAAGGGCAGAAACCCAGGAGGGACCCTTACCCAGGTTCCTATTGGCTGCCGCACAGGGAGACCAGCTGGGGCATCTCCTCTGGCAGCTCAGAGCCAGGGGTGCTGCCAGGGTGTGGCTAACCGGGTGGAGTGGGAATGAATAGGATCATGCCTGTGGCCTGGCACAGGGAGGTCACCAAGGCTTCCCTGCTTTGTCCCTCACCCCCTGTGATCTCTTCACAGAGAAGCCAGAGGGAACCTTTTGTAAAATAAGTGAGATCATGCCATATCCCTGCTGTCTGCCCTCCCACAGCTTCCCAGTACCCCTGGGATCAAATCCCATGTCCTTGCTGTGGTCCATCAGGCCCTACATCAGCTATGGGGTCTGCTCCCATGCCACGATGGTCCTCACTCTAAGACCCAGGATGATGGAGAGTCACTATCCAGAATGTAGCAGATGACTTGCCAGACGGAAAAGAGAACGTGGCAAAGCATGAACGCTGGCATACATAATTCTGTGCAGACTTTATTCTGAATGAATGAAGCCCACATTCAATGGGACCCGGAAGTATGATCATCTTGCAGGAAGGGAAGAAGAGGATGGTGACCAGTAGTAATCAGTCTTCCAGAGGCTAAGAGCTCTGTTTTGATTCTCTATCCGTAGTCTCTAAAATGGTGCCTAGCTTGATTAGGTGTTCAATTAATATTTGTTGGATGGATGACAACATCCAGGGATGACCCCAAGGTTAGATGGCAGTTTGACTTCCTTCCCGTGTTCTGAGCTGATGCTGTTCCAGATCAGATAGGCTCAATGGCTTCTGACATATCCATGGAAGCTATGGAAGCCAGAAAAGCTAGCAGTGAATCTGACAACAGCCTTAGGTGCCCAGAGCCGGAAGGAAGTGTCAAGGGTGTTCCCAGTAAAGGAGTCCCTCCCAGTGAAGGCATCCCTCCCAATAAGGGAGTCCTCTTGTCCTCACACAGAATCCTCCTGGGGTGGGAATAGGGTTCTAGGCTTTGGCAGGGAAACCCCAGGCAGGGTTTTCTGTGCAGGCCACTAATACAGACACTCAAGAGCCTAAGGACCCTGAGTTTAGCACTCAGACACCCAGGCCAGGATGGGTCTCTCAGAAGACCTGGGCCAGAAGGCAGCTGGGAAACCAGGACCTCATCAGAGTTTGGAAAATGGGCACACAGTTAACAAAAGAAAGAAAAAAAAGTTGGTGGGGGCGGGGATGCTCCAGGGAGCAGATGATGATTCTGAGCCCCAGAGCAGGGCAGTGACTTACCCCAGGTCACACAGCAGGGCCAGGGTTTGAACCCAGAATAGCAGAAACCACAGCAATAATGATGATGCCAGTAATCATAGCTAACCCTTCCTGAACTCTTATCATCTGCCAGGCACTATTATAAGCACTTTTCATACATAACTCACCTAGTAATTTTATGAGGTAAGTATTGTTATTCATCTCCATTTTATAGATGAGAAAACCGAGGTGCAGAGAGGTTAAGTGATTGATCCAAGCTCACACAGCTACGAAGTAGAAGAGCTAGAATTCGAGACTGGGTCTCTTTTGTCTCCCTGACTCCAGCCTCCATGTCTTTATTCTTTTTATTTGTAAGATACATACATACATATATATATAAATTTTACTTTAAGTTCTGGGATACACGTGCAGAACATGCAGGTTTGTTAATGTGGCGTGGTGGTTTGCTGCACCTATCAACCCATCATCTAGGTTTTAAGCCCGGCATGCATTAGGTATTTGTCCTAATGCTCTCCCTCCCCTTGCCCCCAAACCCCTGACAGACCCCGGTGTGTGATGTTCCCCTCCATGTGTCCATGTGTTCACATTGTTCAACTCCCACTTATGAGTGAGAACATGTGGTGTTTGGTTTTCTGTTCCTGTGTTAGTTTGCTGAGAATGATGGTTTCTAGCTTCAACCATGTCCCTGCAAAAGACATGATCTCATTCTTTTTCATGTCCAGCCTCCATGTCTTTAATTGCTATGATACTAATACTATATTAGACTAGTGACCAGCCATGCTCATTATAGATCCAGCAGATGAGATCAAAGTCAGCCAAAATTAGAGTTGGGGACCCAGGCCTGGGGAACCAAAGTATCCAGAGTGAGGGAAGAAGACCCAGGAAACCTGAACCAAAGGTCAGAGCAGGGCCAGTGACAGGGCCAACGGGACTGCGAGCCTGGAGGAGAGGACTCCAAATGGAGAGCTGGAATACCAAAAACGCCATTCATGTTGCCCTTTCTACATACAGGGCAGCCCAGACTCTCATTAGGAACTACCTCATTTAATCTTCACAACAGCCCTGTGTAGTGGGGACAGTATTACCCCATTTTAGTAACAAGGAAGCAGAGAGGACACAGAGAGGTTAAGTAACTTGCACAGGGTCACACAGCGAGTCACCAAGGAGTCAAGATTTGAACTGGGGTCTGGCTCTACATTTCACCACCACATTGCAGGGAAGAGTGAGGTCCCAGGCACAGAACTGCGTGAACACAGCCAGCTGGCCACAGGGCCCTGGTTGAGCACATCTGGGAACAGCAGTGCTGTGCTTCATTAGGCTCAGTCATCCAGAAAGTGTTCCTAGCCTTGGGAGATTCTGGATTATCTAGGGCTGAAGCTGTCCCTCCTGGTAAGCTTCTCCCACGAACCTTACCTCTGGCCTCGATGGTCACAGTGATTAAACCTACCCACCCACTCGCTGCATGTCCTCTTCTGCATTTTTAGTGTCCCCCTGCTTTGGCTGGGCATCCGGCCCCTCACCCTCTCCTCCTCGTCCTCTGGATAAAGGCTGCCATGCCAGCATCCCCTCAAGCCCAGCAGTCCTGGTTCCCCAGACACCACTTCCCAGCACACGGCCTCAGAAGAGACGCCCAAGCAGCTCAGTGTCTTCTAAACACACACCCTGATTTTTCACACAACTACTGCCAGTTTTCTGTTACATCAGGGAAAGTAGGCGAGGGTTTATTTTCCCAGATCCTCCAAAGAATGCCCCTGAGCACATGCAGGCTTGTTCTTTCCTGGACTCATAAAACATGGTATTTACACAGGTGTGACGCAGGGTGCCGCCCAGCTGAGCCTCTCTCCCACCCAGCCAGCGTTCAGTATCCAGAGCTTGCATCTGCCCATCTGGGCCAGGCTCGGTGCATCTGTCCCCATGGAGCTGTCCCGGTGGAAGTTCTGCCCCCACTGCTTTGTCCTAAAGCTCCCTAATTCTTCTTTTCAGAATCTTTGCCCGCATATATCCTCTGGACAGGGCTGGAACAGGACAGCAACTGTCAGAGTGTGCCCTGCAGAATGGCTGGAGTCAATGGGAATGAAGCGGGAGAGAGAGAGTGGATTCCATGGTCAAGTGAGACTGAGAAGCTCTGGGTAAGACAAAACCACATCGGTTCCTTTACTGTCCGACTTCCCAGGGCCTTGAGTGTTCCCAAGTGTATTAGAAATCTACTAGGGCCAGGCGCGGTGGCTCACGCCTGTAAATCCCAGTACTTTGGGAGGTCGAGGCAGGCGGATCACCCGAGGTCAGGAGTTCGAGACCAGCCTGGCCAAGATGATGAAACCCCATCTCTACTTAAAATGCAAAAAATTAGCCAGGTGTGGTGGCGTGCCCCTGTAATCCCAGCTACTCAGGAGGCTGAGGTGGGAGAATTGCTTGAACCCAGGAGGCGGAGGCTGCAGTAAGCTGACATCACACCACTGCACTCCAGCCTGAGTGACAGAGGGAGACCCCCATCTCAAAAAATAAAAAAAGAAAAAGAAGTCTAATAAAGGGACATTGTTTGATTCAATAAATATTTATTGAGCACCTATTATGTCCCGAGCATTGTTTTAGGCACTGGAAACACACCAGTTGATAAAATAAACCAAAAATAGAATTATTTGTTGACAGACAAGAAATACAGGAAATAAGTAATATACCGAGAATGTTAGAAGGTGATCCATGCTACAAAATTTTTTTTAAAGCAGGATAAGACAGATGAAAGGGCCACGGAGGAGGCGCAGGTTGCAGCTGTAAATAGGGTGGTTGGACTAGATCCCATTGAGAAGGTGGCGTCTGAGCAAAGGCCTGGAGGACATGGAATGAGCCAGCCAGGCAGAGAGGATGAACTAGCCAGTGTAAATGCTCTCAGAAAGGGTATGTTCGGGGCACAGAGGAGGCCAGTGTGGCTAAGTGGAGGGGGCCAGGGGACAGTGGCTGGGGATGAGCTAAGGGAACTGATGGGGCAGACTGTGTAGAGACAGTCCCTCAGCTTTGGCACTATTGACCTTTGGGCTGGATAATTCTTTGTCGTAAGGGCCTGTCTCGTACATTGCAGGACATTGGCCGGCATCCCTGGTCTCTACCCACTCAAAGCCAGTAGCACCCTCCACCCAGTTGTGACAAGCAAAAATATCTCTAGATATTGCCAAGTGTTTCCTGGGGGGCAAAATTGGCCCCAGTGAGATTCGAGGCATGGAGAAGTGAAGTCACTTACCCAAGGTCACTTTGACTCATACCAATCTCATACCATGCTAACCCATAAGGCGGGCCACTGCTCCCGAGTGCAGAGTCCTGAAGTTCTGTGTGAGGGAGCAGCCTGGGTGGAGCTGTCTTCTCTCCACCAGAGCATGCCCACACAGCAAGCATCCTCCAGCCGTGCCTGGTCCTCCTGACCATGTCTGAGCTCTTGTCCCTCCCCTACCCAGCAAACTTACACATCCTTGTTCTCATTTCTGTTCAAGGCAAGGTTCCAGGAAACGGCGGGGCCCTAGAGCATGAGGTAGGCAACCTGCTGAGACCCCCAGTTGCCGACCGAGGCTGGCCTGCTCTTGAACCTGGTTCTGCCTCTTCCCAGCTGTTTGGCCCTGCAAGACAGATGAGGATGTTAATTTAACCTGCAGCACGTGACTGTGGTGAGGCTTAAATGAGAAAACGTTCATGAACCCATCTAGCAAAGCGCCCAGCACTGAGTAGGCTCCTAGATACTGGTTTCTTTCTAACACCTTGTCACAGTTTCCTAGCCCTGCCATAACAAACGACCACAAATTGGGAGGCTTAAACCAGCTTATTTTTATTCTCTCACAGTTCTGGAGGCTAGCAGCCTGAAATTGAGGTGTTGGCAGGGCCACGCTCCCTCTGAAGGATCAGGGAAGGATCTTTCCTTGTCTCTTCCAGTTTTTGGGTTCCCTTGCTCATGGCAGCATCACACCAATCACTGCCCCATCTTCACATGGCATTTTTTTTTTTTTTTGAAACAGAGTCTTGCTCTGTCGCCCAGACTAGAGTGCAATGGTGCAATCTTGGCTCACTGCAACCTCTGCCACCTGGGTTCAAGCAATTCTCCTGCCTCAGCCTCCCAAGTAGCTGGAATTACAGGCGCCTGCCACCATGCCCAGCTAATGTTTTGTATTTTGAGTAGAGACGGGGTTTCACCATGTTGGCCAGGCTGGTCTCAAACTCCTGACCTCAGGTGATCCACCTGCCTCTGCGTCCCAAAATGTTGGGATTATAGGCGTAAGCTACTGCGCCCGGCCCTTGACACAGTATATGTGTCTCTCTGTGTCCCCTCCTCTTATAAGGACACCAGTCATTGAATTTAGGATCTACCCTTCCCCCACCAAGGGAGGCCATGGGCAGGTCTTCCTTTCTCACAGTCTGTGCCTGTGTTTCCCCTCCTGCAAGCATGACCTTCCTGGTCCCCGGGCCCCAGGTGTTCTGGGAATATCCTGGGGCTGACCTCAGGCAGGAGAAAGGAGTTTGCTTCCCTGACATTTTTTATTCTGGATTAACCCAGCGAATCTTTGGGGACTGCGAGGGCACGGACACGGTAGAATCCCAGGTGGAAGAAGGCAAAGTGGGCGGGAGGGGAGAACTTGCATGTTTTAACCTTTTTCCTGCACCCAACCCCGCCATCCGACGCCAAGCTTCCAGTCAAACCTGAGACCACAGCTCCCCCTGGCGGTCAGCGCGAGCCCGCACCGCGGCTCTCCTGTGCTCACGCAGCCCTGCGCGGCGGAGGTGGCTGGAAATGAATTTAGCGTCAGCACAGTTATTTAAATTGTTTTAATTAATCACAGATTGAGCAGTAAATGAACCACTAAGTGGAGAGAGCGCGCGGGAGCAAGCGAGAAAGAGGTGAGGGGAGGAAGGCAGAGCCTAGGTGATGGCTCGAAAAAGCACAGACAGCTTCAGAGTGGGGCAGGAGGAGGGGGTACAGGCACAGGTCGCAGAGCTGTGCCCCCCACTCCTGGTGCCACACGTTGGGGCGGGGGGCATTCCAGCCCCAGTGGGGTTAGAAGGAGCGCAGAGCCTTGGGGCTAGGGCCTGCCTTCTCCCTTGACAAAAACGTTGAAAGGGGCCGGGCGCGGTGGCTCAAGCCTGTAATCCTAGCACTTTGGGAGGCCGAGGGGGGCGGATCACGACGTCAGGAGATCGAGACCATCGTGGCTAACACGGTGAAACCCCGTCTCTACTAAAAATACAAAAAATTAGCCGGACGTGGTGGCAGGCACCTGTAGTCCCAGCTACTCGGGAGGTTGAGGCAGGAGAATGGTGTGAACCCGGGAGGCAGAGCTTGCAGTGAGCCAAGATTGCGCCACTATACTCCAGCCTGGGTGACAGAGCGAGACTCCGTCTCAAAAAAAAAAAAAAAAAAGGTTGGAAGGTTGGCTAAAGAGAAGACAAAGCAGGAAGGGGGAGTAAACTTAGTAAATTTTTTTATTATTATTATACTTTAAGTTCTGGGATGCATGTGCAGAACGTGCAGGTTTGTTACATAGGGATACATGTGCCATGGTTTGCTGCACCCATCAACCTGTCATCTACATTAGGTATTTCTCCTAATGCTGTCCCCCGCCCAGCCCCACTCCCCAACAGGTCCCCAGGTGTGATGTTCCCCTCCCTGTGTCCATGTGTTCTCACTGTTCAGCTCCCACCTATGCGTGAGAACATGCAGTGTTTGGTTTTCTGTTCCTGTGTGAGTTTGCTGAGAATGATGGTTTCCAGCTTCATCCACGTCCCTGCAAAGGACATGAACTCATCCTTTTTTATGACTGCATAGTATACCATGGTGTATATGTGCCACATTTTCTTTATCTAGTCTGTTATTGATGGGCATTTGGGTTGGTTCCAAGTCTTTGCTATCGTGAATAGTGCTGCAATAAACATATGTGTGCATGTGTCTTTATAGAATGGTTTATAATCCTTTAGGTATATACCCAGTAATGGGATTGCTGGGTCAAATGGTATTTCTGGTTCTAGATCCTTGAGGAATCGCCACACTCTTCCACAATGGTTGAACTAATTTACACTCCCACCAACAGTGTAAGAGCATTCCTATTTCTTCACATCCTCTCCAGCATCTGTTGTTTCCTGACTTTTTAATGATCACCATTCTAACTGGCATGAGATGGTGTCTCATTGTGGTTTTGTCTGCATTTCTCTAATGACCAGTGATGATGAGGTTTTTTTCATATGTTTGTTGGCTGCATAAATTTCTTCTTTTGAGAATTGTCTGTTCAAATCCTTTGCCCACTTTTTGATGAGGTTGGTTTTTTTCTTGTAAATTTAAGTTCCTTGTAGATTCTGGATATTAGCCCTTTGTCAGATGGATAGATAGCAGAAATTTTCTCCCATTCTGTAGGTTGTCTGTTCACTCTGATGATAGTTTCTTTTGCTATGCGGAAGCTCTTTAATTAGATCCCATTTGTCAATTTTGGCTTTTGTTGCAATTGCTTTTGGTGTTTTAGTCACAAAGTCTTTGCCAATGCCTATGTCCTGAATGGTATTGCCTAGGTTTTCTTCAAGGGTTTTTATGGTTTTAGGTCTTACATTGAAGTCTTTAATCCATCTTGAGTTAATTTTTTTATAAGGTGTAAGGAAGGGGTCCAGTTTCAGTTTTCTGCATATGGCTAGCCAGTTTTCCCAACACCACTTATTAAATAGGGAATCCTTTCCCCATTGTTTGTTTTTGTCAGGTTTGTCAAAGATCAGATGGTTGTAGATGTGTGGCATTATTTCTAAGGCCTCTGTTCTGTTCCATTGGTCTATATACCTGTTTTGGTACCAGTACCATGCTGTTTTGGTTACTGTAGCCTTGTAATATAGTTTGAAGTCAGGTAGCGTGATGCCTCCAGCTTTGTTCTTTTGCTTAAGGTTGTCTTGGCTATACAGGCTCTTTTTTGGTTCCATATGAAATTTAAAGTAGCTTTTTCTAATTCTGTGAAGAAAGTCATTAGTAGCTTGATGGGGATAGCATTGAATCTATAAATTACTTTGGGGCAGTAAGGCCATTTTCATGATATTGATTCTTCCTAACCATGAGCAGGGAATGTTTTTCCATTTGTTTGTGTCCTCTCTTATTTCCTTGAGCAGTGGTTTGTAGTTCTCCTTGAAGAGGTCCTTCACATCCTTGTAAGTTGTATTCTAGATATTTTATTCTCTTTGTAGCAATTGTGAATGGGAGTTCACTCATGATTTGGCTCTCTATTATTGGTGTATAGGAATGCTTGTGATTTTTGCACATTGATTTTGTATCCTGAGACTTTGCTGAAGTTGCTTATCAGCTTAAGGAGATTTGGGGCTGAGACGATGGGGTTTTCTAAATATACGATTGTGTCATCTGCAAACAGAGACAATTTAACTTCCTCTCTTCCTATTTGAACACCATTTATTTCTTTCTCTTGCCTGATTGCCCTGGCCAGAACTTCCAATACTATCTTGAATAGGAGTGGTGAGAGAGGGCATCCTTGTCTTGTGCCGGTTTTAAAAGGGAATGCTTCGACTTTTGCCCATTCAGTATGATATTGGCTGTGGGTTTGTCATAAATAGCCCTTACTATTTTGAGATACATTCCATCAATACCTAGTTTATTGAGAGTTTTTAGCATGAAGCGTTGTTGAATTTTATCGAAGGCCTTTTCAGAATCTATCGAGATAATCATGTGGTTTTTGTCATTGGTTTTGTTTATGTGATGAATTATATTTATTGATTTGCATATGTTGAACCAGCCTTGCATCCCAGGTATAAAGCCAACTTGATTGTGGTGGATAAGCTTTTTGATGTGCTGCTGGATTCAGTTTGCCAGTATTTTATTGAGGATTTTCACATCAATGTTCATCAGAGATATTGGCCTGAAATTTTCTTTTTTTGTTGTGTCTCTGCCAGGTTTTGGTGTCAGGATGATGCTGGCCTCATAAAATGAGTTAGGGAGGAGTCCCTCTTTTTCTAATGTTGGAATAGTTTCAGAAGAAATGGTACCAGCTCCTCTTTGTACCTCTGGTAGAATTGGGCTGTGAATCCATCTGGTCCTGGGCTGTTTTTTTGGTTGGTAGGCTATTAATTACTGCTTCAATTTCAGAACTGTTATTCGTCTATTTAGGGATTCAACTTCTTCCTGGTTTAGTCTTGGGAGGGTGTATGTGTCCAAAAATTTATCCATTTCTTCTAAGTTTTCTAGTTTATTTGTGTAGAGGTGTTTATAGTATTCTCTGATGGTAGTTTGTATTTCTGTGGGATCAGTGGTGTTATCCCCTTTGTCATTTTTTTGTGTCTATTTGATTCTTCTCTCTTTTCTTCTTTATCAGTCTGTCTAGCGGTCTATGTATTTTATTAATGTTTTCAAAAAACCAGCTCATATGTTCATTGATTTTTTGAAGGCATTTTTGTGTCTCTATCCTTTCAGTTCTGCTCTGATCTTAGTTATTTCTTGTCTTCTGCTAGCTTTTGAATGTGTTTGCTCTTGCTTCACTATTGCTTTTGATTGTGATGTTAGGGTGTTGATTTTAGATCTTTTTTGCTTTCTCCTGTGGGCATTTAGTGCTATAAATTTCCCTCTAAACACTGCTTTTGCTGTGTCCCAGAGATTCTGGTACATTGTGTTTTTGTTCTCATTGGTTTCAAAGAACTTATTTATTTCTGCCTTAATTTCATTATTTACCCAGTAGTCATTCAGGAGCAGGTTGTTCAGTTTCCATGCAGTTGTGTGGTTTTGAGTGAATTTCTTAATCTTGAGTTCTAATTTGATTGCACTGTGGTCTGAGAGACTGTTATGATTTCCATTCTTTTGCATTTGCTGAGGAGTGTTTTACTTCCAATTATGTGGTCAATTTTAGAATAAGTACTATGTGGTGCTGAAAGAATGTATATTCTGTTAATTTGGGGTGGAGAGTTCTGGAGATGTCTATTAGGTCCACTTGGTCCAGAGCTGAGTGCAAGTACTGAATATCCTTGTTAATTTTCTGTCTCGTTGATCTGTCTAATATTGACAATGGGGTGTTTAAGTCTCCCACTATTATTGTGTGAAAGTCTAAGTCTCTTTGTAGGTCTCTAAGAACTTGCTTTATGAATCTGGGTGCTCTGTATTGGGTGCATATATATTTATGATAGTTAGCTCTTCTTGTTGCAGTGATCCCTTTACCATTATGTAATGCCCTCCTTTGTCTTTTTTTTATCTTTTTTGGTTAAAAGTCTGTTTTATCAGAGAATAAGGATTGCAACCCCTACTTTTTTTTTCTATTTGCTTGGTAAATATTCCTCCATTCCTTTATTTTAAGCCTATGTGTGTCTTTTCAATGAGATGGGTCTCCTGAATACAACACATGGGAGTTCTCGACTCTTTATCCAATTTGCCAGTCTGTGTCTTTTAATTGGGGCATTTAGCCCTTTTACATTTAAGGTGAATATTGTTATGTGTGAATTTGATCCTGTCATCATGATGCTAGCTGGTTATTTTGCCCGTTCGTTGATTCAGTTTCTTCATAGTGCCAATGGTCTTTAAAATTTGGTATGTTTTTGCAGTGGCTGGTACTGGTTTTTCCTTTCCATATTTAGTGCTTCCTTCAGGAGCTCCTGTAAGGCAGGCCTGGTGGTGACAAAATCTCTCAGCATTTGCTTGTCTGTAAAGGATTTTATTTCTCCTTCGCTTATGAAGCTTAGTTTGGCTGGATATGAAATTCTGGGTTGAAAATTCTTTTCTTTAAAAATGTTGAATATTGGCCCCCACTCTCTTCTGGCTTGTAGGGTTTCTGCAGAAAGATCCGCTGTTAGTCTGATGGGCTTCCCTTTGTGGGTAACCCAACCTTTGTCTCTGGCTGCCCTTAACATTTTTTCCTTCATTTTAACCTTGGCGAATCTGACGATTACGTGTCTTGGGGTTGCTCTTCTCGAGGAGTGTCTTTGCTTTGTTCTCTGTATTTCCCAAATTTGAATGTTGGACTGTCCTGCTAGGTTGGGGAAGTTCTCCTGGATAATATCCTGCAGAGTGTTTTCCAACTTGTTTCCATTTTCCCTGTCACTTTCAGGTACACCAATCAAACATAGGTTTGGTCTTTTCACATAGTCCCATATTTCTTGGAGGTTTTGTTCGTTCCTTTTTATTCTTTTTTCTCTAATCCTGTCTTCTTGCTTTATTTCATTAAGTTGATCTTCAGTCTCTGATATCCTTTCTTTCTTCCACTTGACCAAGTCAGCTGTTGATACTTGTGTATGTTTCACGAAGTTCTCATGCTGTGTTTTTCAGCTCCATCAGGTCATTGATGTTCTTCTCTAAACTGGTTATTCTAGTTAGCAATTCCTCTAACCTTTTTTCAAGGTTCTTCACTTCCTTGCATTGGGTTAGACCATGCTCCTTTAGCTCAGAGGAGTTTGTTATTACCCACCTTCTGAAGCCTACTTCTGTCAAGTTGTCCAACTCATTCTCTGTCCAGTTTTGTTCCCTTGCCTGCGAGGAGTGGTGATCCTTTGGAGGAGAAGAGGCTTCCGGTTTTTGGAATTTTCAGCCTTTTTGCGCTGGTTTTTCCTCGCCTTTATGGACTTATCTACCTTTGGTCTTTGATGTTGGTGACCTTCTGGTGGGGTTTTTGTGTGGACATCCTTTTTGTTGATGTTGATGCAATTTCTTTCTGCTTGTTAGTTTTCCTTCTAACAGTCAGGCCCCTCTGCTGCAGGTCTGCTGGAGTTGCTGGAGGTCCACTCCAGACCGTTTGCCTGGGTATCACCAGCAGAGGCTGCAGTACAGCAAAGACTGCTGCCTGTTCCTTCTTCTGGAAGCTTTGTCCCAAAGGGGCACCCGCCAGATGCCAGCCAGAGCTCTCCTGTATGAGATGTCCGACCACTGCTGGGAGGTGTCTCCCAGTCAGGAGGCGCAGGGGTCAGGGACCCACTTGAGGAGGCAGTCTGTCCCTTAGCAGAGCTCAAGCACTGTGCTGGGAGATCCGCTGCTTTCTTCAGAGCCACCAGGCAGGAAAGTTTAAGTCTGCTGAAGCTGCGCCCACAGCTGCCCCTTTCCCCAGGTGCTCTGTCCCAGGGAGATGGGAGTTTTATCTATAAGCCCCCGACTGGAGCTGCTGCCTTTCTTTCAGAGATGCCCTGCCCAGAGAGGAAGAATCTAGAGAGGCAGTCTGGCTACAGCAGATTTGCCAAGCTGCAGTGGGCTCCACACAGTTCAAACTTCACATCGGCGTTGTTTACGCTGTGAGGGGAAAACCACCTACTCAAGCCTCAGTAATGGCGAACGCCCCTCCCCTCCGCCAAGCTTGAGTGTCCCAGGTCAACTTCAGCCTGCTGTGCTGGCAGCAAGAATTTCAAGACAGTGCATCTTAGCTTGCTGGGCACTGTGGGGGTGGGATCTGCTGAGGTAGACCGCTTGGCTCCCTGGCTTCAGCTCCCTTTCCAGGGGAGTGAATGGTCTGTCTTGCTGGCATTCCAGTTGCCACTGGGGTATGAAAAAAAAAACTCCTGCAGCTAGCTCAGTGTCTTCCCAAACAGCCGCCCAGTTTTGTGCTTGAAACCCAGGGCCCTG
This sequence comes from Homo sapiens, assembly GCF_000001405.40. Lineage (NCBI taxonomy): Eukaryota > Metazoa > Chordata > Mammalia > Primates > Hominidae > Homo > Homo sapiens. The sequence continues at coordinate 35,031,070 of NC_000022.11, forward strand.
GTGGTGTAGGCACCCGAGGGAATCTCCTGGTCTGTAAGTTGCAAAGACTGTGGGAAAAGCATAGTATCTGGGCCAGAATGCGCCATTCCTCATGGCACAGTACCTCACAGCTTCCCTTGGCTAGGGGAGGGAGTTCCCCAATCCCTTGTGCTTCCTGGGTGATGTGACACCCCACCCTGCTTCAGCTCACCCTCCATGGGCTACACCCACTGTCTAACCAGTCCCAGTGAGATGAGCTGGGTACCTCAGTTGGAAATGCACAAATCACCCGCCTTCTGCATTGATTTCACTGGGAGCTAGCTGCAGACCAGAGCTGTTCCTATTCGGCCATCTCGCCAGCCACCGAATTAGTAAAATTTTAACACGTGCCTTGAATTGTATTCAGCACTTCTACACTCATTACTGTATCTTTGAAACACAGTTTGAAACACCAAGCCTCCTCCCAGCAATGCCAGCAGCTCACTTTGTGACACTGAACCGTACAATGCTCTTGGCCTTTCCATCTGCAGAGTGGGCACAGACACCTATAACTAATTGAAAGAGATAATGTCTAAGAGAGCTGCCAGATCCAGGATTCTTTTCTCTTGAGCAAGACATTTCAATGACTCTTCTGGACTTGACTTTCTCCTCTGTAAAACAGGTTTACCACCTTTCATTGAATTCAACACAGGATTCAACAAACATCAGCCAAAAGGCCCATTTTTGCACAGCCCATGCGCTAAGACTATTTCCTCACATTTTTAAATGGTTAAAAAATCAAAAGAATAACATTTCATGCCGCATGAAAATTATGAAATTAAAATTCCATAAATAAAATGTTATGAGAACATAGCCACGCATGTTTATTTAAGCAATATCTATGGTTGCACAGCAGCAGAGTTAAGTAGTTGCAATAGAGACTGGATGGCCTGGGAAGCCAAAAATATTTACTATTTGACCTTTTATGTAAAAAGATTGCTGACCCCCAATTTCATCCATCATCATTTGTAAGATGCATGATTTTTATATACAACTAAAGAACAAAACCCTCCCCAATTAAACTACACCCTTCTGTTTTCATCATACTTAGATTTTTTTAAACTTTATATTTATAAAAGTTATTTAGGTTCTTTAAATAGAGAGCTGTATCACCTATCTCACTTGTGAATACATAAAAGAAAAAATATGCAAAATAATTGGGTTCAGATACTCCTTAAGCATCTTCCTATTCAGCAACTAAATCTTCTGAATCACTTTTTGATTCAAAATCACGTTTGTCCTTGTTTGACACACAATGCTGTCCTCAGTGCCTCTGTGTAATGCAACATTCCTTAAAAGAACGCTTTGCTATTGTCTTGGGATTTTCTTTCCAGCTGCTTGTACCTGTTCTGGAAATTCTGATTATAATGCACATGATGTGACAACTACCTTATGACTGCTGCCAGGCCAGTGGTGATTTTAACAAATATCCCAATTTCAGAGGTGTTAAAATGTGGAGGGGAAATGACATTAATAATACACTTTTTCAAAATTAGAACCATTGTCATCTGGCTCCCAAATAACAAAGAACAAAACAGATAAAAGTTCTGTCCTCGAGGAGCTGCAAGGCTAATGATTTAGGAAGATAATAAACAAACAAATAAGGGTTGTATCAGTGGGTGATGAGTGGGCGATGAGTGCATTAAAGTAAAATAAGCAGAGTGGGAGAAAGAGGAAGAAGAGGAAGAGGAGGACGGGAAGGAGGAGAGGAGAATGATGAAGAGGACAGAGGAGGAGGGAGAGTTGGGGAAGAAAGTGGAGAAGGGGGAGGGGTAGGAAGAGAAGAGAATGAAGAGGGGAGGAAAGGAGGAGAAAGAGAAAGAGAAGAGAATGATGGGAAGGTGCTATTGAGGTGGGGTATTGTCAACCAAAAACAAATCAGAGAAAAAATATCTCTAGATATGTTGCAATTATTAGGGAATTAGAAAAGAGAATTCTAACCGCCCCCTCGTCGCCCACTACACACACACACACACACACACACACACACACACACACACACACAGCTATAACCAGCCACATATGCATCTGAAGAGAGAAACTTTTATTGGCAAAAGGAGACATTCACATAAGCTGCTGGGAAACAGAGTTTACTGATTTTAGAGCCTCGAAGCCAGCATTGGAGTCAGTTCATTGGTAGAGGTGCTGTTACTGGGCAGGTGTTCCTTCCAGAGCATCTTATCTAAATTCACTGTCCTGACCCGGGGCTGTGGTTCCTGGTGGCAGCTGTGTGTGGGGTTCATCCTGGTGGTCTCTCGGGCTGTGAAAGCCCAGGTAAGGAGTATTTCCTGGGGCTCTCAATCTCCATGGTCCTCAGTCACTCTGGTGGCTGTATTGAGGCAAACAGAGAGATGGTTCCTTGGGCCCGAGGACCTCAGTGGGCAGCCTCGGCAGCTCCTGTCTCTGTCTAATGAGGATGAAGGTAGACAGGTCCCAGGATGCAGCAGGCGGCTGCTGGAGGCCGAGTAGATGCAGGACCCCACACCTGTCTCCAGAGTTAATTACATTCCTTGTGGGAGGCAGGTTGGGTTGGGGTTTCCCTCACTTGCAGCCAAAAGCATCCTAAGTGAATCACAAGGAGGGTCTGCTGGGCACAGGGTCCAGGACAGAACAGCCAAGAATGTGAGGAAAGCCAAGATTTGGACAATCGAACATCAAAGAGGCCCAGGAGCCAGGCTGTCACCACCAGGATGACCTTGATGATCCCTGAGTCAGGCAGCCCTCGAGGAAGGAGGGCAGGGTCCAGTATGAGTGCAGAGCAAGGACTCAGGATCTCAGGCCATTTCCTAGTGTGCGGCATGACAAGAGGCAAGGGTACCAGCCAGAGAGCACAGAAGCCCACATGGAGCCTGAGAACCTGCACATACTAGCTGTGTCCCCTTAGACAAGCCCGCACCTCTCTCTAAATCAGTTCCTTCCTCTGCCACGTATGGACAGTAAAAGGACCTGCCTCTAGGGTTGCCACGTGGACAGATGAGATCATCCTTTCCAGGTGCTTTGAACAAGGCTTGGCAATGTTGAGTAGGTGACAACTATGAATATGTCTCAGCCTTGTCTGTTCCCCTGTACTGCTGCCTGGTTGCCACACCCTGTCTGTCTGACTTTCAAATGCAAGCTGGGGTGCCCTCTCCTCCAGGAAGTCTTCCTGGCTGTCCTCCCACTCCAGGTCTAGGTAGATGTCTTGTCTGTGCTTCCATCTACCATGCTTTTAAAATCTGCCTCTCCAATACCTGTTACAGTACGTGGCACCTTGTAGGTCCTTAACAATTGTTGAATAAACAAACTGAGAAAGCAGGGACTGGGTTCCAGGAACAAGGCAGAGGCTTATTTATCAAAACCAAGGACCAATGGACGAGTGGTGGGAAGGACTTGGTGCCGAATTTCCTGATGCCTTTTCCCGCACACTCCAGGTCGTATTGGTCTCAGAGGTGATTTTCATTCATGCAACAAATATTACTAAGCTCCTACTGTATTCCACACTCTGTTCTTGGCATAAAGATGCAGCACTGAACAAGACGATCATAATTCGTGATCTCTTAGAGCTTGTTATGTTCTAGTGGCAGAAACAGACATACAAGGAAATACATAAAGTACAAGATAATTTCCGATCAAGGTATTGAGAAGACAAGACATGAATGTAGTGAGAGGGACTAGGGAAAGGAGCTCCTTTAAACAGAGTAGTCAGGGAAGACATCTGAACAGAAATTGGCATGAATTATGAGAGGGAAGGAAGTCAGGCCAAGAACTGAGAAAGGACTTTCCGCAGAGAGGGAACAGGCCCAGTGCAAAGATCCGGAGGCAGGATCAAGCCTGATGCGTTAGAGACACAAAAAGAAACCAGGGAGGCGGAGCTTGGGGAACAAGAGGAAGCGGTGGTAGGAGGGTGGAAGGCAGGGGGCAAAGGGAGAAGAGGGAGGCCAATGAGGATGCCGTCATGACTGTCCAGGTGAAAGATGGTGATGGTTTGGACAAGAGCCATGGAGGGAACTGGGACTGGAACATCTTTTGGAGGTAGAGTCAACAGGACCTTGTGACCTTATTTGGAAATGGGATTCTTGCAGATGCAAGTTAACATGACGTCATTAGGATGGGCCCCAATCCAATATGACTACTGTCCTGATAAGAAGAGAAGAGACACAGAGACAGACACAGAGAGAAGGCCATATGATGAGAAAGGCAGAAACAGGAGTGACATAGCTACGGAGCCAACCAACATCAAGGATTGCTGGGAACACCAGGAGCTGAGAGAACATACAGGAGTAGTCAGATGGCCTTAACTGGGAGACCAAAGACGGGGCTATTTTCTTTCCAGCTTTGCCCTGGGTTGGTCCTGGCTGAGCACCCACACCCTGAGCCCTGCTCCAGGAATGTCTGCAGCTTGTCCCACAGCTGGCCATCAATCATGGATGGAAGATTCCTGCCCTGGCATGGTTTGTCCTCTCTCCTTGCCCTCTGTGTCTACCACCTGCATGTGAAGTTATGCATTATCGCCATGCTAGCTCTTTCCTTGAGGATGTCTGCGTCTCACATCTGTCAGAAGGCACCTCTTATTAGTACAAACAAAGAAAATACCAATAGCACTGCCCACTGCTTATGATTTGCAAAGGGACTTTATTTACTTTGTCTCTCCTTTGAGCCTCAGAAGTAATAATAATAGCTAATATTTATCAAATACTTACAAGGCACTGGCACCAAGCTAAGGGCTTTACTTACTGTGATGAGTTCAGTCATGTCCTCCAAAAAAAGAGTGTTGAAGTCCTAACTTCCAGAACCCGTGAGTGTGACCTTATTTGGAAATAGGATTCTTGCAGATGCAACCAAGTTAAAATGAGGTCATTAGGATGGGCCTTAATCCAATATGACTGGTGTCCTTACAAGAAAAGGAGAAGAGACACAGAGACAAACACAGAGAGAAAAGGCCATATGACAACAGAGGCAGAGACTGGAATGATGCAGCTATAAGCCTATGAATGTCAAGGATTGCTGGGAACACTAGGAGCTAAGGGAAAGGCACAGAATAGATCCCTACTTACAGTCTTGCTATGGTTTGAATGTTTTTATCTCCTCTAAAACTCAGGTTGAAACCTAATCCCCAATGCAACTGTGTTGGGAGGTGGGACCTAATGGATGCTGTTTAGGTCATGAAGGCAGAAGCCTCATGGATTAATGCTTCTATAAAAAGGGCTTTCAGGAGGGAATTTCTCTCTCCCTCTCTCTCTCTCTCTCTCTCTCTCTCTCTCTGTCTCTCTCTTCTGCCATGTGAAGACTCAGGGTTTATCCTTCTACCTTCCACCTTGTGAGGATGCAACAAGAAGGCCTTCACCAGACACCAGCACCTTGATCTTGGACTTCCCAGCCTCCAGAACTGTGAGAAATACATTTCTGTTCTTCAAAAAATAACCAGGTCTGTGGTATTCAGTTACAACAGCACAAAATGGACTAAAATCAGCCTCCATAAAGACCATGGCCCTGGCAACACCTTGATTTTGGACTTCCAGTCTTGGGAACTGTGAGAGAATTAATTTTTGTTGTTTTAAGTCACTTTGTTGGTGGCCATCTATTTCAGCAGCCCTAGGAGGGTGTGACCAAGGACAGCTGGGGGATGGTAGTGTTTGCTAGGGTGCCACAGGCCAGGGCTAATGGGCAGTATCTTAGTCCATTCCTGCTGCTGTAACAAAATACCACAGACTGGGTAATTTATAAATAATAGAAATGTATTCCTCACAGCCCTGAAGGCTTGGAAGGCCAAGATCAAGACATCAGCAGTTTCAGTGTCTGGTGAGGGCTCAGTCTCTGCTTCTAAGATGTTGCTTTAAATACTGCATTCTCCAGAGAGGATGAATGCTATGTCCTCACGTGGCAGAAGAGATGGAAGGGCAGGAGGCCCTAGCTAGCTCTCTCCAGCCCTTCCATAATGTCACCAATCTCATCCATAAAGGCAGAGCTCTCATTCCTAATCACCTCCTAAAGGCCCCACCTCTTAATCCTATCACCTTAGTGATTAAGTTTCAACATATACATTTGAGAGGACACATTCAGATCATAGCAGACAGGAAACCACCCACTGGTTGGTTTCTCACCAGAGGCTGTGCATTTATAAGTCTCCTGCATATCACCAGCAGGGAATTGCTCTGCTGATGTGGAAGCCACTTGCTCACAGAGCCAGAAGAAACAAAAGCATAGGAACCACGAAAAGAAGACTTTTCCTCCAGTGCCCCCTACTGCCAAGGTCTAGCATTGTGCTAGCTGGCAAAGGAGAAAAGTTCACAGGGTCCCACTCCACTGTCACACAGCAGGGCAAAGGAGGATGAATTGCGAGCAGAAACACAATCAGGTAATACCTGGCACACCTCCGGATCAGAGGAAACAGACGATTCCACAGCATATTCAACACCTCCATGATTAACTGCCTGTTACCTCTTCGGTTCCATCTCTCACCACACCCTTCCGTACATGGCAGACTCCATGAGCAACTTACAATTCCCCCAACAAGACAAACTGCTCGATGCTTTTCCCTACTCAAGCTGTACACACTCCCTGGGATGCCTTACCCCCTCCTCCCAGTCAACCTCCATCATATCTAAAGTCACATTTTGAATTCCTATGATGTTCCAGTCACTATACTGAGCCTTCTTTACACATTATCTCATTTAATCTCATGTGCTGACCCTGTTGAGGAAGTGCATGCAGCCCCACTTCACAGGCCAGGAAACTGAGGTTCAGAAGTGCAGGGTAAACAAAGCAAGATATATTAGTCCGTTTTCACACTAATAATAAAGACATACCTGAGACTGGGCAATTTACAAAAAGAAGAAGTTTAATTGGACTTACAGTTCCACATGGCCAGAGAGGCCTCACAATCATGGCGGAAGGCAAGGAGGAGCAAGTCCCATCTTCCGTGAATGGTGGCAGGCAAAAAGAGAGTTTGTGCAGGGAAACCCCCATTTTTAAAACCATCAGATCTCTTGAGACTCATTCACTATCAAGAGAACAACACAGGAAAGACGCACCCCCATAATTCAATCACCTCTCACCAGGTTCCTCCCACAAAACGTGGAAATTGTGTGAGCTACAATTCAAGATGAGATTTGGGTGGGGACACAGCCAAACCATATCACAAGATCACTCAGCAAATAAAGGATGGAGCTGGAATTCAAGCATTCTTCCCCTCATGACCCTCCCAGTGGCTGAGGGATGGCATCTTGTGGCAGAACTTGGTGTCCACCTTGTCCTAGCCAAGGTCACGTGGCAGGGAGTGTCACACCTGGATTCAGCCCAGTTGTGCTGGCCTGCAGAGCTCTACCACCCTAAATCACACTCATTCCTATGTGTATCCTGACCCCAGACCATGAGATGGCTCTTTTTAACTCTACCTTCCAGTTCCAGAACAGCAGGGGTTTGGGGACCATCTACCAGTGATCATAAGGCCCATTTTCAGTATAACGGTCTCGCAGAATTTTTTAAAATAAAAAATTTGAATCACTTACATCTTGAGACATACCCAGGGAGTTATATGCCGAATAAAAAATTCAAAATGAGCAAAGGTGACTGCCTCAGAAAGCATTCCGACCACATCCCTCTCTTGTATAAAATTCCCAGGCATCCTGTTGTCACTTAAATTTCCATTTCCTGGGTTACTGATGAGATTGAGCACATTTTCTTATGCTATTAATCATTTCCATTTCCTCCAGAGTCCGTTTGAACCCCAAGACTGTCGCCCAAAGTCCTAATGGAGTCATCTTGCACGGAGTGGGGAAATTGGAAGGAGATGTTAAGACAAGTAGGAAAAAGCCATAGTAGGGAAATTGGGGGAAGGGAATGGAGCCGAGGCAGAGGGAGAGGCACATGCCTACTTCCCAGTCTTTGAGCCTGGCTGCACCTCTTCCTCCAGGTGTATTCCCTTTCCTCCCCACACCCGACTCTGCCCCCTCTCATCTCCCTCAGATTGCCCACTATTAAGCAGGTTGTGCTCTGCACAGGAGCACCAGCTGAATGAGCCAGCTAAACCCTCTCTCACTCTATTTATCAAGCGCTGCACCCTCAGGGCTACATCTGCTCTGAGGGGAACTTTTTCTGACTAGCCACAGGCTCTGCACCATGGCCAGTGCAGTTCTGGAAGCACAAGAGGGAATGATGCAGCGGGCCCATATTCCTCTTTTTTTTTTTTTTTTTTTTTTCCGAGATGGAGTCTAGCTCTGTCACCTAGGCTGGAGTGCAATGGTGCAATCTCGGCTCACTGCGACCTCTGCCTCCCAAGCTCAAGCGATTCTCCTGCCTCAGTCTCCCCAGTAGCTGGGATTACAGGTGTATGTCACCATTCCCAGCTAATTTTTGTATCTTTAGTAAAGACAAGGTTTCACCATGTTGGTCAGGCTGGTCTCAAACTCCTGACCTCAAGTGATCTGCCTGCCTTAGCCTCCCAAAGTGCTGGGATTACAGGTGTGAATCACTGCACCTGGCCCATCTTCTATTTCTTTAGCCAAGACCCTACACATGGACCTAAACCCCAAACCATCTAGGAAAGCCATAGGGACAGAAAAGGGGTCTCCTGACCGACACAGACTGGCTGTTCAATGCGCATGGCCCCCCTGAAAACGATTCCTGGATGAGCCAAAAATATAATCCACTTCCTCAGCTTCCAGGGGCCAGGCCAGGAGGTGGCCAGCCAGGACTGAGCAATCCAGAGGCGTGTGTGGGCCCTGGCGCAGACAGATGCTGCTCTGGTTTATTTCCTGTTAGCCTTGTAATGTAATACACTGTGTGTAATTGGTACATGAATCAAGAGACACACTCCCTCTACGTTCTGCGGGGCTCTGCTGGAAAACTCGCTGTGTTCTCTGCCTCACTCTGGCTCCTCTCCATCTGGTCAACCTGACATTTCTGAGATGGCAAAGAAGCGACTTTGCCGCAGCTCCTAAATTGGGGAGTATCCTGGGGTTTTCCTAAGTAGCAGTGATGAAATCATCAGATAGCCATCCTTCCTTTTCATTCCTAGAAAACAACAAGTCTGTTTCCAACTGTAAGGAATTGGAGAACCCAGGCAGCAGCCAATGGGAACAGATGCTGGTAGACTGTGGCCAGATCGATCTCACTTCCTGCCTTTACCACCACTCTGGCCGCCTCCCAACCAAACGGTACCATCCGTCTCCACGGTCCCCCCTCGGTTAATCTTTCTGCATTCTTAAGGAAGCAGTGCAGGACGGTGCAAAATGCCTAGGTTTTGGAGACCCACCAACCCAAATTTGAACCTAGATCTGAGTGCCTAGACCAAGTGACTTCACCCCCCCATGCCTCAGTTTCTTCATCTGTAAAATGGGCATGATAATACCTTTCTCCTTGGCTTGTAGTAAAGACTAATTAAATCTCCCAGAAGGCCTAGCACAGAGTTTGTATTTGACAAATGTTAATTTGACGCCTCCACCTTCACCCTTTGTCCCCAGCCCTGGCCCTGCCCCATCAAACTGTGGTGATTGGCTTTTCATGATGGCGAAGAATGAATCCAGGATACAGCCTGGGGTGAGGCCTGGGCTTTCACTCTAAACATACAGTTGTGAATTTACTAGGGGTCCCTAGAGCAGTTCTCATGTTCTAGGTATCCCTAGTAAATTCCTTCCACGGCCAAACATCAATTCTTTCCATGGCCAAACTTAATAATGAAGTGGCCAGCTTGCTCAAATGTCCCACCCTATTTAACACTTACGCATCTCTATCACGGCTCATCACACCCTTGGGTCAATCATCAGTCGGTCTTACAGACTGTGGGACCTTAACATCCCATAATAGTTTACACAAGAAATGCAGATTAACCTTATTTCTAAATGCAAATCTCACATGAGATCAGTGAAAGTGCTATTAGCGTATGGCTTGGGACACACACGAAGTCTCTGACAAATGAGTGGTTAAGCAGCAGACGGTGTGGATCCAAGTCCCTGCTCCCCACTTCCTAGTTGCACATCTGTGAACAAGGTATTTAACTTCTCTATGCCTCAATTTCCTTAGAACATGTGCACCACAGGCCAGGCGCGGTGGCTCACGCCTGTAATCCCAGCACTTTGGGAGGCCGAGACAGGTGATCACCCGAGGTCAGGTGTTCATGACCACCTGGCCAACATGGCGAAAACCTGTCTCTACTAAAAATACAAAAATTAGCCGGGCATGGTGGTACATGCCTGTAATCCCAGCTTCTCGGGAGGCTGAGGCAGGAGGATTGCTTGAACCTGGGAGACAGAGGTTGCAGTGAGCCGAGATCACACCATTGCACTCCAACCTGGGTGAGAGAGTGAGACTCTGCCTCAAAAACAAAAACAAAAAAACAAACAAACAAAACAAACAAACAAACAAAACATGTGTACCACAATATGACCTACCACGTTGAGTTGTAGTAAAAATAAATCCATGAACACATATGAAGAGCCTGGCACATGGTGAGCTCTCAAAAAATGCTAGTTATTAGTAGCTATGTAGAAGGGTTAGGCCTGTTAATAATTAATAAAGAGAAAAATCAATGAGGATAATGAATAAGTACCTCAAAAGAGAATGATTTCAATATCAAAGTACTACAAAAAGCCCTTAGGAAAACTTACGAAACCCTCAAGCATTTTTGCAAAAAAAAAAAAATGACCCTCTTTATAGTTGTGCTATGAAAATATAATAAGAAGTGAAGGTTGTCCTAACATACCATTACACCATCTTGTCAGAAAAATTCTACCAAAAAGAGGAACATGTGATTCATTCTGTGTTCACTCTAAAAATTAGTGCACAATTTTAATTCTAATAAAATAGTGTTAAACATAATATACAATTAACTCACTTTCATTATATTTAGCTGTATATTTCAGTGACAGGTTGGTATCAGCTAACAGGATGAGGGACTCATAAGGTTGGCATTAGACAGACGGAACTGATATTCCAGTGGGTAACTGGAAGCTTATGAAAGAAATACATTCATACTTGTGTGGCCAGAGAGGTGACCCAGGCCAGGAAAAACTGAAGCAAGAGCCTTTCTTTCTTTCTTTTGATCAATAAATATCTGTTGTGCCAAATACTGTGCTAGATGCTTGGAATACAGCTGTGAACAAAGAGATAAAAAATCCTGACTCTCATGGCCTCTAATTCAGCTTGATGGAAGGGATGGTGGGGGGATAAGCTCTAGACCATGGACATACTCAGTAAGTAAATTAAATAGCATATTGGAAGGAGACAAGTGTTATAAAAAATGAAAAGGAGGCCGAGCGCCGTGGCTCACTCCTGTAATCCCAGCACTCTGGGAGGCCGAGGCAGGAGGATCACCTGAGGTCAGGAGTTCAAGATCAGCCTGGCCAACATAGTAAAACCCTGTCTCTACTAAAAATACACAAATTAGCTGGGCGTGGTGGCACACACCTGTAATCCCAGCTACTCGGGAGGCTGAGGCAGGAGAATCGCTTGAACCCGGGAAGCAGAGTGTGCAGTGAGCTGAGATCACGCCACTGCACTCCAGCCTGGACAACAAAATGAGACTCCATCTCAAAAAAAAAAAAAAAGAAAAAAAGAAAAGGAGGATCAGGAATGCCAGAGCAGGAGCGAGCAAGGTGGGCCTGGTTGAGAAGATGGTGTCTGGGCAGACTGGAAGGAATGGAAGAATGAGCCATGAGACTATGTAGGGAAAAGCATTCCTGGCAGAGGGAACAGCAAGTGTAAAGATGAAAGTGCGTCTGATGTGTTCTGAGGAAGAGCCAGCAGGTCTGTGTAACTGGAAGACAGCCCATGAGGATCAGATTTTACAGAGTCTCATGGGCCATCTGACTTTATGTGGGGTCAGGGAAGGCTTTTGACCAGGAATGGACAGATATGGAGACAGATATGGCAGCTGGATGGAGCACAGACTGAAGAGAAAGAAGAAGGCAGAGAGCCTAAGTGTGGTTGTCCAGGAGGAATGCACCTGGCTCACTCCAGGGGCCGCCAAGGTGGTGTGGGAAGTGGGGGGATTCAGGATATACCTAAAGTTCTAACCAGCAGGATTTGCTGATGGAGTGGGTGTGGGATGTGAGGAAAAGGAGGCAGGGATCATTCATAGGTTCCTGGTTTAGGTCAATCTGGGCTGAGGCCTGGAGCCCGATCAGTTGCCCCAACCCAAGGCAAGGGCGCATGGAAACGGCCACAGCATCCACTGTGCTGGCCTCATATGATCTCATTTAATGCTCACAGCAGGCCTGTGACATAGGCATTGTTAGTCGCACTGAAGACATGAGGGAAACTGAGTCCCAAGAAGTAACCAGACAAAGCTCACAGCAAGCAGCAGAATGAAGAGGTGAAGCTGAGATGGTCTGACCTTGGCAGCCTGGAGCCTTAGCCACTGGTTGACGCTGCCATCAGCCTCCACAAGGGGTCCCCCAGCTCTGGAATATTCTATGCTGCAAAATCAGTAATCAAGAGACCCAGTTGCCACAGGTCTTGGCTTTTCCACAAACTGACCTTGTGGGCTTGGGGAAATGGCCTCTCCTCATGGGCTGCAGTTCCCCATCTGGGTTAATGGGCTCTCCAGGCCTTTTCTACTAAAAAAATCCACTGTGTAAATACTGCAATTTCCAGAAAGTTCTAGCAGCACCAGCAGACCTTTCCAGAGTGAGAGATGGGTTGCACTGCCCTCTATAGAGAAAACCTCCTAGAGAAGCTCTGTCATGCTACCTATTCTCTGGTCTGTCCCTCTGCTGGTGACCCCGCACTAGCTGACCACCCCTTCGTGGCAATGATAGACCCGCCCACTCAGCTCCTCAGCCCATGTCCCTCAGAGCTCCTGCCTGTGCTCGCCTTCCCTGTTCCTCTTTCCCTTCATCAAACAAAGAGCTGCTCCAATTGCAGGGTTCTGTTTGCAACCATGATGAGGTCTATCATGCAAGTCACCAAGTCGCCATTCACTGCACACCTGTGAAGTTCAGTGGCCTCATCTCATCTCAAGCTCTTGACAGCTGAGAGGGAAACACTGTTTTATCCCCACCTCTATTAGGTCATGAAAAGCTGGACGTAGGTCAGTTGAGAGCAGGCACAAGAGGATGGGCCAGGTTTGGCCCTCCCAGTGGCCAGGCCCAGAGTCCAGAGTCCATGGCAAGAATATTCAGCCTCCCTCCAACCCCAGCAAATTCATGGCAGCTCTTCTCCAGGTGAGGCTTTCCCCTAGGTTGACATCCCCATCTCCACAGCACATTCTCCATCCCCTCATCTCAGAGACTGTGCAAGTGCCCCTTCCTCCAGGAAGTCTTCCCTGATGCCCCAAGTGAAGGAACTTAACCTTCCACTGAAAACCCCAAGGCAGTTTCTAATAGTCACTTTTAGCTTTGGTTTTTCAATGAGCACTGGAAGATAAAGCGGTTTTTAAGTGTATAGGCTCTAGAGCAGGACAGACCTGGGTTCAAATTCCACCTTCTCTGTTTCTTAACTGTGTGGCCTTGGGCAAGTTACTCACCTCTCTGGACCTCCTTTTCCTCATGAGGTTTTTGGGAGATTTTAACTTAAATGGTCAACTTTAGGTATAGTGCTGATAGCAGCTGCTACTGCATCCTGAGGGCTTTCTGCAGACCCGGCACTGTTCTATGCCCTTTATGTTCAATTCTCACAGCAGCCCTGTGACACAGGTTCAATCAGTAGACCCATTTTACAGAAGAAGAGGCTGAAGCACACAGTGTTAAAATAATTTGCGCAAAGTTCCCTGGCTTCCCTACTTATTTGCTGTGTGCCTTTGGGCAAGTCACTTAACCTCTCTGATCTTGAAAAAGTTATATTATTGTATGGGAGCTCTGTTTTCACTCTATTAAATCTTGCAACTGCAAAAAAAAAAAAAAAAAAAAAGAAAAAGTTATATTATTGCTTGTGTGCCCCAGTTTCCTCCTCTGGAAAAGGGAGTTTCTGGCATGTATTAATATTGAAAAACAGATATGATATTTAAAAATCATCACGACCTTCATGTTTATCATTTATACAATTATAGACTTGTCCAAAAAGGTAAGAGGTACCTCAGTAAACCTTACAAAGGAGGGAAGGAAAGTGGGCAAGAAGGAAGGAATGAGTAAGTGAATGAATAAATCCATGCATGCATCATCCACCAAGCGAAAGCTCTGGAATGCAGATGGGGAGTAGAGGAATGTCAAGTATATTTTAGTCATAGATCTGACAATAGAGGGAGCCTGCAGGTGCAGAGGAAAGGAAGACCCACATCATTGGAGCCACATAATCCAGCTGCCATTGCCTTTCAACCCCCAGAGCACGAGTCCAAGGGCCATTTGCATCCTGATGGATGGGGATGCAGTGGAAGTGTCAATTGACCATCATTGGTTCATAAATGGACCCCATAACACAAGTTATCAGTTGAAGACCCCAGGGATGCTTTATTAACATTTCTAATCTATGGGTTCATTTGAGAAATCATCAGGGACAACAACCTAATAAATCGTGGGTTTAAAGGACTCCAGACAGCAGCACATCGGGCCTTCCGTGAAAAGGGTGGTAGTGCTGAACTTTTGAGATAATCATAGTAACTGTCACCAGGGAGACAGGTTGCAAAAGAGAGTCCGCAGTCAGCGGCGTTGACAGCTGGAAGCAGATTGTCCAGAAAGGACAGCTCTTCCTGGTTGAAGTCAGAGTTTGCAGAGGAAGAAACTGCTATTAATTGTGCACCAACTTCGTGCAGGCACTTTATTTGCATGGCCTCATTTAAGCTACCTCAAAACACACCTGCGTGGTAACTGCTCTCATCCGCATTTTACAGACAAGGCAACCAAGATTCAGAGAGATTTGTTTCTTGCTCAGTTATTGCCAGTAACTGTTGAGCTGGAATTCAAACGCAGGAAACACCCATTTGACTGTCCATGTTATTATCAATCACTGCACTCTTCTGGTCACCAGCTCCATTGCCCCATTCCACCGAGGTGGAAACTGAGACCCCATTGTCTACCCACACACGAGCAAGTCAACAGCAGAGCTGGGAAAAGGATTCAGCATCTTGGTTTCTATCTTTGAGTTCTTTCTGGGCTGCTTCCCTGACACTGCCATTCCCCATCTGGCACCTTCCCCTCCCATTCTCATCTCCTTACTCTGCTTTTTTACTCCTTCATAACACTATTGCCTGCTGTGTTCTATATTTTTGTTTGAGTCCCAGCATGCTCACATTAGTGAGCTGAGGGTTTGAGCTGTTTCGTTTTACAGCTGTTTGTACTCCAAAATGGTGAAGCAGGCTAGAATTCATATGCAATTGGTTACACGCACATCCCCAGTGGAATCAAAATAACTAACGTCTACTTGCTAAAGTTCTCCCCTTGGCTGTAGTCCCTGACCCCAGGGGTAGGGAAGAAGCACTGCTACATTTGCCCGTTTGTAGGTTTTCTCTGTGCCCCAGGATCTCCATGTCCCAGCTGACAATTCCTTTCATATTGACACATTCTTGAGAGGTTACAGACTTTGTGGCTCACTAAGTTGCCTTTAGCCACCTCTGCTTCAGTGTATTATGTGTTTATTATTACTTTGTCACTGAAAGGATTACCAAACCTCCTTTCTCCAGGTTTCTGGGGGACTTACTCATTGTAACTCCCAACTATGAGCAGTAGTGCAGGCTGCTGGCTGTGGATCCAATATTCATGTGTCTGCTTTTAATCCACAGTACCCCAATTTATTTAAAGCAGCAATGTTCACATGTGAAAAAACACATTTTTGAGCCCTGCTTTCACCTAAGCAAGGAGTGGGGACCAATGAGATGAAAGAGAAAATTATCGAATGGAGTTCCCGCCAGAAGGGCTCTTGGCAGAGGCTAACCCAGCTGAGGGATTTATCCTTTTTCCTTTCTACCTGGAATGCAAACCTGATGTCTGGAGCTCCAGCAGCTATTTTGGACTATGAGGCAACCATGTGGCTGGAAGCTGACGCTGAGGTGGCAGACCTTGATAACAGTGGACCTGCCACTCCAGCCCTGGCCTGACAATACTGGGACTCCATTTACATGACAAAAACTAAATTCCTATTTTTAAGACACTTATTTCTGTATTCTGTGACATGCAACCAAAAATAACGCAAACACATGTGCTAACACGTGTGTTTTTATTCAGCGGACGCTCACTGAGCACCTGCTATGTGCGAGCTACTGTGTTAGGTATAGAGTGGCAAAGATGAGTAAGCCGTGTGCTTTCAAGGGTCTCACGGTGCAGGGGAATTCCACAAGTAAACAGCATGCCAGCTTATGGAAACTATAGTAGTAGAACGTTCCGAGAGCTGAGGGATACAGAGAAGTGGGGTTGTACAGAAGAGGGAAGCTGACCCAGCCAGGAAGGACAGAAAAAGTCACCCAGATGATGCACTGACTGTCACAGGACAAGAAGTCACTTGAGTAGACTTGGTGCAGAGAAATAAACAGAGGCAGAGAGTGGATAGTGATAGCTTGTTTGCCAGGCTGAAAGGTTCGGGTTCTCCTTGTCCACATTTGAGTACACTTACACACACACGTCACAAACACACATGCACGTGTGTCAGAGGCAATTTCTTCTTTGCCTCTGCTGAAGTCCCTCAGCATTCGGCAGTCTGTGTTTAGAACTTCCCCATGGATCAAAGATTCTGTGTTTACATTTTATCCATGACTCCTATCTGTTGGGGCAGGAGTATGTTGCCTCCACGACAGCTAAAGTTTTCTGTTACACCCGTGTGCCTGGATCACAGTCTGACAGGAAAGCACTGGCTAGGCAGGAAGGATACCTCAGTCCCAGTCCCCTCTATACCCCTTACTTGTTTAAGATGATTAATGTCTTGTTCCATTCTTAGTATTTATTTGCACCACTGCCTCATCCTGGAAAAGGCTTGAAGAGGTTGATTTGAATACATGCAACACAGCCCATCTTTTAAAGGAAGGAATAAAGAAACCAGGGTGAGGAAAAGGAAGAGGGAGGCAGCAAGATGCCCCAGCATATTCTAAGATCCAGGAAGCCAGATGAATTTTTATTTATTTTTTTTGAGACCGGGTCTCACTCTGTTGCCCAGGCTGGAGTGCAGTGGCACAGTCTCGGCTCACTGCAACCTCTGCCTCCTGGGTTCAAACAATTCTCATGCTCAGCCTCCTGAGTAGCTGGGATTACAGGTGCGTGCCACCTTGCCTGGCTAATTTTTGTATTTTTTTAAATAGAGACAGGGTTTCACCATGTTGGCCAGTCTGGTCTCAAACTCCCGTCCTCAAGCAATCTACCCACCTAGGCCCCCCAAAATGCTGGGATTACAGACGTGAGCCACCATGTCTAGCTGGCCAGATGAATTTTTCAGCTTAGTTTCTGGTAGCCATGGGGGTTGGAGGGAACAGAAACACAGCCACCTACAAGCCGTCAGGATGACAGTGATTCTAAAAGACAGAAAATGGCCCAGTTGCTCCTGGAAGTGGGCTCTCCCTGGCGTGGTAGTCTGAGGAGAATTTAACCATGGACCCTCACAAAAGGAACATCATGAGAGCCTCCTCAAGATCTTATTCACCTTCTAAAAGGAATTCTCGGAGTGCTTTTCTCTCCAGCTAATTAGAGATACGACGTGGAGAGCAAACAGTTTGAAGTTGTAGTCTATAGCAAGCACCGGCCTGTCACACAGATATTCCATGTTACCAGCCGAGGGATGATCCAAGTGTGTTAATCAATTAATAGACCAACCTCTGCCCAAAGAGAGGCCGAAGGGATACCTGTGGAGATCCGGTGAGAATACCTGTGTGAATACCCATGGGGATACCAGTGAAAAAACCCATGAGAATACCTCTGTGAATACCAATGAGAATACCTGTGGGGATGCCTGTGAGAATGCCTTTGGGAATGCCTATGGAAATGCCTGTAGAAATACGTTTGGAAAGACCTATGGGAATACCTCTGGAAATACCTGTAGGAATGCCTGTGGAAATATCTGTGAGAAAGCCTGTGGGGATACCAGTGAGAATACCTGTGGGGATACTTGTGGGAAAGCCTGTAGAAGTACCTTTGGAAATACCTATGGGAATACCTATGGAAATATCTGTAGGAATACCTGTGGAAATATCAGTGGGGATACCTCAGAGAATGCCTGTGAAAATGCCTGTGAGAATCCCTGCGAGAATACCTGAGAGAATACCTGTGTGAATACCAGTAAGAATACCTGTGGGAATACCTGTGGGGATACTTGTGGGAAAGCCTATAGAAATACCTTTGGAAATACCTACAGGAATACCTATGGAAATATCTGTGGGAATGCCTATGGGAATGCGTGTGGGAATGCCTGTTGGGATACCTGTGGGAATGCCTGTATAAATACCGGTGAGAATCCCTGTGGGAATACTTGAGAGAATCCCTGTGTGAATACCAGTAAGAATACCTGTGGGGATGCCTGTGGGAATACTTGAGAGAATGCCTGTGTGAATACCAGTGAGAATACCTGTGTGAATACCAGTAAGAATACCTGTGGGAATACTTGTGCGGATACTTGTGGGAAAGCCTGCAGAAATACCTTTGGAAATACCTATGGGAATACCTATGGAAATATCTGTAAGAATACCTGTGGAAATATCGGTGGGAATGCCTGTGAGAATACCTGTGCGATCACCAGTGAGAATACCTGTGAGAATCCCTGTGGGAATACTTGAGAGAATACCTGTGTGAATACCAGTGAGTATACCTGTGAGAATACCTGTGGGATACTTGTGGGAAAGCCTATAGAAATACCTTTGGAAATACCTATGGGAATACCTATGGAAATAGCTGTAGGAATATCTGTGGAAATATCTGTGGGAATGCCTGTGAGAATACCTGTGCGATTACCAGTGAGAATACCTGTGTGAATACCAGTGAGAATGCCTGTGGGGATACCTGAGAGAATGCTTGTGAGAATGCCCGTGTGATTACCAGTGAGAATACCTATGAGAATGCATGTGGGGATACCAGTGAGAATACCTGTGAGAATGCCTGTGGGGATACTTGTGGGAAAGCCTATAGAAATACCTTTGGAAATACCTATGGGAATACCTATGGAAATATCTGTAGGAATACCTGTGGAAATACCTGTGGGAATGCCAGTGAGAATACCTGTGTGAATACCAGTGAGAATGCCTGTGGGGATACCTGTGAGAATGCCTGTAGGAATACCTGAGAGAATGCCTGTGAGAATGCCCGTGTGGTTACCAGTGAGAATATCTGTGAGAATGCCTGTGGGGATACCTGTGAGAATGCCTGTAGGAATACCTGAGAGAATGCCTGTGAGAATGCCTGTGTGATTACCCGTGAGAATACTTATGAGAATGCATGTGGGGATACCAGTGAGAATACCTGTGAGAATGCCTGTGGGGATACCTGAGAGAATGCTTGTGAGAATGCCCGTGGGATTACCCGTGAGTATACCTACGAGAATGCATGTGGGGATACCAGTGAGAATACCTGTGAGAATGCCTGTGAGAACCCCTGTGGGGATACCTGTGAGAATACCATGGGAATGCCCGTGGCAATACCTATGGGATGCCTGTGGAAAGCTGTTTTCCTAGAGAAGATGGCTATGGATCTGCTCCCACACAAGAAAAAAATGTCCTAGCCGATCAAGCTAAGCCATGATCATTTTAGCTTCAATGTTTTTCAAAGTACCTTTTACTAATCTCCCAAGAAGGACTTAGAAAATTCCTAATACTGCACCCATAAGATGCCTAATGTTAAGCAAATATAACCTCCTGGTGAGTCCCTCGAATGGCTTAGTGGGAAAATGGAACCCTAAGTGACTAAACGAGTGAATGCAATTCACAGGTTGTTGAATAAAAGCCAACTCAATGTTGGAGGACATCTGCCAAAAATGACAATTGGGGGGTGGGAGTAGCTCATCCTGAGCCACTTTTTTCTGACAGTAATGAGGCTATTCCTGGTTCATGACAATAAAACCATGTCATCTGCATAGAAAAGACTTGTAACTTTCTGTTCGCTATAGCAAACAGTAATGCATTCAGCTCATCCAAAAATCTTTCAAGTCATAAAATACCCGTTAAAGGAAGCAGGGACGGAAGTACATCGCTCTTGTGCTGTAGTTGGAATTGCTATTTGGCTCATCAGGACACTATTTCTGCCGACCTGGCCCTCATGCTGTGTTGAGGTGCAAGTTCTACATAAGCACCTGTGGCAGGGTGGGGATTCATAATGAGCTCCTGTAGTTTAGCCCATAATTGGTTTCTCTCCACATAATTAGTTTCTCTCCACTGAGTCGAAGGCCAAAATCAGTCATTGCTATTGTAATTCTTACATCGTGCCTGACAAATTTTTGCACAAGTGGCATAAAAAGGTCAATAATGTGGGATAAATGTGTTGAAAAACCCAGGGGCTCCTCATACAAAATATAAGCTTGAGAAATGCAACTTTCAATTCATAAGAGGGAAGTTGGCAGATAGTTTAGCTGGAATGTGAAGTAAACCAATGGGTCTATCATTTGGAGAAAAATAGAAGGTGATCCTTTTACAAAGTAGGATAATCTGCCATTTGGATCCATCCAGACAAGAGGCACATATGGAGTTCAGGAGAGGAAACAAACTTGGCCATTGCACACTTGAAACGTGGCAAATCCAAAGTGAGGTGTGCTGTAAGTGTAAAATACACAGGAGTTCAAATAGAAAGAAAATATGCAAAACAACTCATTCATAATGATTTTATCATCATTATCATAATTTTATGTTGATCACCTGTTGAGATGATAATGTTTGAATATTTGGGGTAAATAGAATACTATATATTATTAAAATCAATGCCATCTTTTTTTACTTTTTTATTATGCCCACTAGAGAATTTGAAATTACTTTCATGCATTATGGTAACCACTTTCAAGATGATCCCCAGTGATCTCTTCCTCCTGGTCTTCACAGCCTTGTGTAGTCCCTCCCACATTGCCTCAGAGGTATCAGGGTTGGCCTGCATGACACATAGAATACTTCTGAAGTGATGACATGGGTGATGGTCCATTGTATGTGTCAGCTTGACTGGGCTAAGGAATACCCAGAAAACTGGCAAAACATTATTTCTGAGTATGTCTTTGAGGGTGTTTCCAGAAGAGGTTAGCATTTGAATCAGTAGACTAAGTAAAGAAGATGGCCTTCACCAATGAGGGCAGGCATCATCCAATCCATTGAGTGCCCAAATAAACCAAAAAGATAAAGGAATGGCAAACTTGTTCTCTCTCTCTCTCTCTCTCTCTCTCTCTCTCTCTGTCCCTCTCTCTCTCTCTCCCTCTCCCCACCCCCACCCCCCATCCCTTTCCCTCCCTCCCTCCTTAAGATGGAATATCCATCTTCTCCTGCCCTTCCTTGGATATCGGAGCTCCTGGTTCTTGTGTCTTCAGATTCTGGGACTTACCCCAGTACCCCATCCACCATCCCCATCCCCAGTCAGTTCTCAGGTGTCAGCTTCAAACCTGGACTGAATTATTCTGCTGCCAGCTTTCCTGATTCTCCAGCTTGCAGATGGCAGAGATCATGGGACTTCTTGGCCTCCCTAATCACATGAGCCAACTCCCATAATAACTCTCCCCTTATAAACATATATCTTATTGGTTCTGTTTCTCCAGGGAACCTTAACTAATACAGTATGTCACTCCACTATTAGACTACAAAAGACTGCAACTGCTGTCTGTCTCGCTTGCTCACTCTCTCTCTCTTCATTTATTCCAGGAGAAGTTAAATGCAATGCTATGAGCAGCCCTATAGAGAGGCCTATGTGGCGAGGTCTGAGTCTCTATCCACAGCCATGTTAGGGAAACTTCTTGGAAGCAGATTCACTGGCCCCAGTCCAGTCTCTGGTAATCACAGCCCAGCCTACATCCTGACAAAAACCTCGGGCAGGATCTTGAGTTGGAACCACCTAGATAAGCTGCTCCTGGATTCCTGATCCTCAGAAACGGTGTGAATAATTAAGCCCTGGGTAATTTATCACAGAGTCACAGGTAAGTAATTCACATGCATTATATTTCTACTGAGCAGCATTGATCTCAAGCTAAAAACAAACAAAAAAAAACAGCAAGCCTCTAGAGCAGACATTCTTAACCGTAGCTGCACATTAGAATCACCTAGAGAACTTTCTTTAAATTACTGCCGCTGGGGAACCACCCCAAACCAACTGAATCAGGAGGACTCCAGGGGGAGAGACCTGGCACTGGTATTTTTTTTAAGTTACCCAGGTGATATTAATGTGCAGCCAGGGTTGGGGTCACGCTCTAAGGAAACACTTCTCAAATGTCACAGTACTTAATTCCACGTATCACCTAGGGCTTTGCCACTCAATGGGTGCAGGCAAATTACCTGGCCGCTTGTTAGAAATGCCAGGTCTAACCAAACAAGCGTACAGAATCAGAGTCTGCACTTTCAATAAGACTCTGGAAAATTTCAATGCACATTGAAGTTTCAGAAGCAGGGATTTAGGGTATCACTTTGAAACTGGACCTCAGAAATCTCACCCTCCAAATTCCTGCTAAGGGTAACCATCCCCAGAATATGTTCTCCCTGAAAGATGTATTAGCTTGAAGTTGTGTGTGAGCTCTCTCCCCAAAGGATTCTGACATAATTAGTGTGGGTGGGGCCCAGCCACAGAGAATTTATGGGGGTTTGTGTGGTTTTTCTTGAGACATGGTCTCACTCTGTCACCCAGGCTGGAGTACAGTGGCACAATCATGGCTCACTGCAGCCTCAACTTCCCGAACTCAACCATCCTCCTGCCTCAACCTCCCCAGTAGTTAGGACCACAGAAGCGTGCCACCATGCCTGGCTGATTTTTCTCTATTTTTTTGTAGAAATGGGGTCTCACTATGTTGCTTAGGCTGCTCTTGAACTCCTGGGCTCAAGTGATCCTCCCACTTTGGCCTCCCAAAGTGCTGGGATTATAGGGATGAGCCACTGTGCCCAGCTTTGTGAACATTTTCCCTGGGTGATTCTAAGCTGCAGAATCACCTAGCTGGGGCCTTGGAAGCCACCATCCTGAGTGAGCATAAGACAGGACTGAGCCCTCCATCAGTCCTTTCTCTGGGTCTCTCATCTCGCCACTACAAGTCTAAGTCAAGAGATTAAACATGAACTCTACAAGCCAACTGTCCCATCTAGGACTTTTCTGAAGAAACAGCCATTTCTTCCAACTCTAGAGAAGAAAAACTTGCCACCTGGGACTTCCCCAGAGCCAATGCACACATCTCAGTAAGGTACTTACCTAAGGGACTTCCTGGAGTACTGTAATTCTAACGTTCATAACCTTGAGTCACATCCTTGAAAATGAATCCCCAACAAGATGCAATATGACTATATAGCAAGATTTAAGTTTTATATTGATTATTGTGCCACTTCCAAACCAAACCCCTTTTCACACAGCTAACAGTGGCCGCAGTTTAAGAATTGTTTTACTTCTTTATTCATTTGTTTTGGGTTTTTTTCTGACATTATTTATCAAACCAAGAATGAAGGACAAAATCCACAGCTACTCAAATTAAAATGAACTAAAAGCCAGTTTTAATTTTCCGACAACCCCATCAACAGTGGTAATGGAGTGTACCCAAGGTGTCTCTCAGCATTTCAAGAGTTTCTCAAAAAAGCAATTTTCAGCAATTTGCAAGTTCCATTCCCCTTTTCTCAACAGCCCCATCTTTTGAGATGCAACCATGAATTAATAGCCTTAAGCATGGCAATACCAAGGGTTAAGATGGGAGACATATTATCACTCTGTCTGTGGGTGAAAATCACCATCCTAAATTTAGTAATAAATAAGAAAGGCTAACTGTAATACAATTTACAGCACTGACTCCTTCAAACTACTTACCATAGTTTGTAACTATTTTATCACTTCTCTATTTGTTTATCATTAGTGTCCTCTCTGATCTATGACCACATCAGGAGCCATGTCGGTCTGGTTCAATATATCTCTCCTACTTAGTGTAGTGTCTGACACATAGTAGGCACCAAAAGAATGTTTGCTGAATGAAGGGTTGAGCGGATAATTTCCCCAGATTCATGCCATGTGCTAATGCTTAGTGCTTTATAAATCCATTGGTGAAAGTTTGTCTACTCAGCTTGACACATCTGTTCATAAGGAGATGATCTATGGTAAATTAGTTCTACTCCAGAGCAGTTTAAATGGGACCCTGAAAATCCTACGCCAACCCTGACATTCTGTTCTTCAGACATTATTATGACTAACTTGAAATATGTGATATAAATGGAGGCTTTTAACCATCATACACAACTCAAGGTCCAAGCAGCCTGAACATAACCACCCAGAGGGATGTGAGTCCACTTTGAGTCAAGTCCAGACTCTCTGGTTGCTAAACCCTGAAAGGGTTTTGTTCTATGTTCTATGTTGTGCTCTGAGCATTGTAACTCTCTCCAGGATCTGCCCAGCCTGCAGGGAGGAACCAGATCTCTTTCCCAAGCAAGGGGGCTTAGAACTCGGCAGGCTTCAAATGTTCTCAACAAAATCTGGGGTGAAAAAGAATCAGTCAAACATGAGCTCAGAATGACAGACTAAAGTATCTTGGTTTCCCTAGGAAGCCATGTCAAATGCAGATCTCAAGGGCAAATAAATAATACAAGGACTAAGGGTCCACTGAGAACTACTGATGCTCTCACCAGATCATCCCCATGATAGGCTATCTTCCTTTCATTGTCCCTGATCCTTCAGCACATATGACCTAGCCCTCTTCTGCTCAGGAAGACAGTATCACATAATCTCAGATACACACAGAGGGTCAGTCCCTGGAAAAAATGTTCTAGAGGGAAGTAGTAGAGAGTAGTAACCCTACAGGCCTCAAATCTCTCAACAACCAACCCAGTGAGATCTTCACAGAGATGTTTCTTTGAAAGCTCTTTCTTAAAACTTAGGACGGAAAAATAATTCAGAAAAGAGTTGTGGAGTGGTGGAAACAACTTGAGATTGGGCGATAGAAAGATTGGGTTAAAGCTGGGACTCTGCCTCCTGCTAGGAGATAATGGAGAGACTTTGAGTGAGTCACTTGCCTCAGTGGGCTTCAGTTTCTTTAACTGTGCAACAGGGATTATAACTCCCACTTCCAATGGAAGCTGTGTGTCAAATGCCATAATACAATGGGCTTAGGACATAGCCCAACTGTAAACAAATGTGAAGGCATGCTGTAGGATAAACAAAGGGCAGACACTCAAGAAGGGTCAAATGCCAAAATACAACGTGCTTAGGACATAGTCCAATTGTAAACAAATGTGAAGGCATGCTGTAGGATAAACAGAGGGCAGACACTCAAGAAGCGGCTTTCCCTTCCTTCTCTTCTTCCTTTCTACCTTCTCCCATGAACTGCAGGAGGTAATTAGTCCATGTCTCCCATTGCTCAGGAAGTGCTAATGCCCCATACATGCAGTCACATGCCTTTTCTGGCACCATCTTCTGACAAGAAAAACCATTTTGTCTGTCACACGCACCTTGAAGCAGATACCATTGGTCACACCCCCCAAACAGCAATTACCTGTCTTCTTCTGGCTGACAAACCCCAATTTTTCCCAGGAACTAAGCTCCAGAGAGTGGTAAGGAAAGCTGTCCCACTGCATAGTCCAAGGGAGCAAATGCTGAGTAATTCAACTTGTAATGGTAATTGCATTATATCTGCCAGCAACTGGTTTAAGTGGGGACATGTGACACAATCCTGGCCAATGGGAAATAAAGGGAACTTGTTAGAAGACTTCTAGGAAAGGTTTTTCTCTATGATAAAAACAGTGAGAACAAAATGAATAAAATACTTAGGAATACAGCTAACCATGGAGGTGAAAGATCTCTACAATGAGAATTTAAAAACACTGCTTAAAAAAATGAGAGATAACACAAACAAATGAAAAACAGTTCATGCTCATGGATAGGAAGAATCAATATTATTAAAATGGCCATACTACCCAAAGCAATTTACAGATTCAATGCTATTTCTATCAAACTACCAATGACATTCTTCACAGCATTAGAAAAAAACTATTTTAAAATTCATATGGAATCAAAAGAGAGCTCAAATAGCCAAGGCAATTCTAAGCAAAAATAACAAAGCTGGAGGCATCACACTACCCAACTTTAAACTATACTACAAGGCTACAGTTGCCAAAACAGCATGGTACTGGTACAAATACAGACCCACAGACCAATGGAATAGAATAGAGAGCCTAGAAATAAAACTGTACTCCTAGAGCCATCTGATCTTCAACAAAGCCAACAAAACAGGCAGTGGGTAAAGGACTTCCTATTCAATAAATGGTGTTACGGGATCCTTGGGGTGTCACTTTGCCAGCTGGAAACCACTGGGCCCACTTGTCCTGGCAGGTTGTGCTAAGTTTGCACTACTGGCCTAGATCCCATGCTTGCCAAGGACAAGTGGAGTGGTGAGGGCTGTGTGAGCAAGTAAGCATGGGTTGTGTCCCATGTGCACAGCCAGGCACACTGGCTGTGGCAAGGCAAGCAGCTCTAGGTGCTGGCATGGGTGCCAGCTCCTTGTAAGGCTGTGGCTGGACCAGGTGTCCCACAAGCAGCTTTCACAGCTGGCACTGGGGAATGTGGTGGCACCCAGAAGCTTGGAGACACCAGGAACCTCAGAGCCCCAAAGAGGGTGTCACAGCCCTGGCTCAGGGAGCATCTAGGTCCAGGCTCCCCAAATGTCCACAGCTCTTCTCTCCTCGTCACCTGCAACGTGATGAGCAAGGGGCGTGTTTCAGCCCATTTGTGTTACAGTTCTTTCAGCCCTGCCATTCAGCAGGTCCAGAGTTCTTGTCCCATGCCCAGAAAGAATGAGGTATGTGCAAAGTGGAGGGTGAGCAATGCAAAAAGGAGATTTACTGAGCAATAGAGTAGCTCAGAGGAGACTTGCAGTGGGTAGCTCCTCTCTGCAGCCAGGATGTTCTGATGACTGTTCAGCTGTCAGCAGAGAGGAGACCCTGGAGTGGATAGCTCCTCTCTAAAGCTGGTTGTCCCATCATCTCAGCTCTCAGCAGAGAGGAGACCTTGGGGTGGGTAGCTCCTCTTTGCAGCTGGTTGTCCCATCTTCTCTCTAAATCTGGCCGAGTCTGGGGTTTTTATGAGCTTCAAAGGGAAGGAAGTACGTGCTGATTGGTCCATGGGTGGGCCCAGAAAAAGCACAAGTTCCCACTCTGGTTCATAGGGCTGGCAGCCCAGCCCCTAGGCTTCAGGGCTTCCTCAGCTTGAAGGTGAGGCTTCACCAGAGACCCGTCCCTTTCTGCTCAGAAGCCTGTCTGCCTCCTGCTGCTGTTCATGACACTCATGCTGTTGGTGCTGAGGGGTGCCTGCAGGCCAGCACTGAGCTACCCTCAGACCCTCCTCGGCTTCCCTCCCATGCTCATTAGCACCCAAAATCTAGAGCAGGCCAAGGCGGCAGGGGGCTGGCATGTCAGCACTGTCCCCAGCATGCACATACCCAGCCAGGTTGTGACAGCACCCTGGCTTGTCCTCAACTTTTCTCCGAGATTAGAGCAGGCACCAGGAACAGGGAGAGGCCAGGCAGTGGAAGCAGGCATTTTCAAACCTGCAGAGCAGGTGCTGGGGGCGGAGAGAGGCCAGGTAGTGGGAGCAGACATTTCTGAGCCTGCAGGGGCAGGGGGACCTGAGAATGCAGAGATGCCTGGGTCCACAGCCGCAGTTTGGGTGGCTGAAGCTGTGCCTGGGAAGGTGCCTGCTACTACCTCCCAAAAGCACAGGGACGCCTGGGTCTTCAGCTGGAGCTGTGTGGCCACAGCTGTGTCCAGGGAATGCGAAGCTCCCACCCTGCCAACTCCGAAAGGGGAGGGTCTGCTGCCTGTTCCCAATCCCACTGGCTCCATGGAGTGCACAGCCCTGGCTGCACCTCTCCCACTGCAGCCGGCATCATGGCAGTGGTCACTCTAGACAGGCCACCACTGCCATCACTGGGATAACTGATTAGCTATATGTAGAAGATTGAAACTGGACCCTTTCCTTACACCATATACAAAAATCAACTTAAGATGGATTAAAGATTTAAATGTAAAGCCTAAAACTATAAAAACCCTGGAAGATAACCTAGGAAATACCATTCTGTACATAACCCCTGCCAAAGATTTCATGACAAAGACACCAATAGCAATTGCAAGGAAAACAAAAATTAACAAATAGGACCTAATTCAACTCAAGTGCTTCTACACAGTAAAAGAGGCTATCAACAGAGTAAACAGAAAATCTACAGAATTGAAGAAAATATTTGCAAACTATACATCTCACAAAGGTCTAATATCCAGAACCTATAAGGAATTTAAACAAATTAATAAGCAAAAAACAAACAACCCCATTAAAAAATGGGCAAAGGACATGAACAGACACGTTTCAAAAGAAGACATACGCATGGTCAACAAACATATAAAAAATGCTCAACATCACTAATTGTTAGAGAAATGCAAATCAAAACCACAATAAGATACCATCTCACACCAGTCAGAATGGCCATTATAAAAAAAAAGTAAAAAAAATAACAGATGCTGGCAAGGCTGCCGAGAAAAGGGAATGCTTATACACAGCTGGTGGGAATGTAAATTAGTTCAGCCATTGTGGAGAGCAGTTTGGAGATTTCTCAGAGAACTTAAAACAGAAGTAACATTCAATCCGGCAATCCTATTATTGGGTATAGATCCAAAGGAATATAAATCATTCTACCATGAAGACGCATGCACACATATGTTCATCACAGTACTATTCACAACAGCAGCATCAAGTAATCTACCTAAATGCCCATCAACAGTAAACTGGATAAAGAGAAGATGGTGCATACACAGCATGGAATACTATGCAGCCATAAAAAAGGAAGACGATCATGTCCTTTGGCAGCAACATGGATAGAGCTGAAGGCCACAATCCTAAGCAATGTAACACAGGAACAGAAAACCTAATATCTCATGTTCTCACTTATGAGAGGGAGCTAAACACTGAGCACACATGGACACAAAGAAGGGAACAACAGACACCAGGGCCTGCTTGAGAGTGGAGGGTAGGAGGAGGGAGAGGATGGAAAAATTATCTATTGGGTACTACGCTTATTACCTGGGTGACAAAATAATCTGAACACCAAACCCCATGACACACAATTCACTAATTTGTTAATAACAAACCTGCACATGTACCCCCAAACCTAAAATAAAAGTTAAAAAAATAAATAAAAAGAATGAAGAAAGGCAAGTCTTATCCTCCCACCTTGGAAAGGTTTGTGTGAGGCCTGGACCTGCAGCAACTATCTACCAGCCATGTCAGGCAAGCTTAAAGATAAAACCAGTGCAATGGATGCAGCACTATTCACAATAGCTAAGATCTGCAAGCAACCAGGTGTCCATCAATGGATGATAGACAAAGAAAATGTGGTGTATATATACACAACAGAATACTATTCAGCCTTGAAAAAGAAGGAAATCCAGTGGGACAATGACAGTTAACAAGAATTTATTGCATATTTCAAAGTAGCTAGAAAAGAAGATTTAGAATATTTTCAGCACAAAGAAATGATAAATGTTTGAGGTGATGTATATTCCAATTACCCTGATTTTATTATTATGCATTGTATGCATGTATCAAAATATCACATGCATGCTGTAAATACATACGACTATTATGTATCAATAAAAATTAATTAAAATTCACATTTTTAAAAAAGGAAATTCTATCATTTGCAACAACAAGGATGAACCTGGATGACGTTATGTCAAGTGAAATAAGCCAAGCACAAAATGACAAATACCTCATGATCTCACTTATATGTGGAATCTAAGAAAGTCAAGCTTATAGAAGGAGAGTGAAGAACGGTGATTGCCAGGGGCTGGGGGTGTGGCTGGACGGGGAATTGGACAGATGTTAGTCAAAGGATATAAAATTTCAGTTAGACAGGAGGAATGAATTCAAGAGCTCTGCTGTACCACATGGTGACTATAGTTAATAACCACGTGTTGTATTCTTAAAAATTGCTGGCTGGGCATGGTGGCTCACACCTGTAATCCCAACACTTTGGGAGGCCAAGGTGGGTGGATCACCTAAGGTTGGGAGTTTGAGACCAGCCTGACCAACATGGAGAAACCCCATATCTACTAAAAATACAAAATTATCCAGGCATGGTGGTGCATGCCTGTAATCCCAGCTACTCAGGAGGCTGAGGCAGGAGAACCACTTGAACCCAGGAGGCACAGGTTGCGGTTAGCTGACATTGCACCATTGCACTCCAGCCTGGGCAACAAGAGTGAAACTCCAACTCAACAAAAAATTGCTGAGAATAAATTTTAAGTGTTCTCACCATAAAAAAAAACCACAATAATTACATGAGGTAATACATATGTTAAGTAGCTTGATTTGGCCACTCCACAATGAATACATATTTCAAACCATCATATTGTACATGATAAATATATAAAATTTGTATTTGTCATTTAAAATAAATAATTTTTAAAAAATAATAAGAAAATGAAAATAGGATATATTAAACCAATGCACTGGGGATGACAGAGAAGAAAGATGGAAGTGCTTAGTTCTTCACATTGTTTTCATGCCTGAACTAAGCCACTCTGCATCCTCCTACCTACACACGTGATTATGTGAATTAACAAACCCCCATTGTTTAAGCCTCTTCAAGTTGGGTATTTGATCACTTGCAGCCAAGATCATTCTGATCCACACTCCCTCCCATACTCAAACACACACAGCCTATAACTTGCCTCCACTTTACTTGGGTTCCCAATGACTCCTTAACTTGTAGTTTGGTTGATGGTAGAGCCATCACTCACAAAAATGCCCATGGCTCTTTTACTGCCTGTGGGATAAAATTCATATCTGGAAAAATCCAAGTGTGTTCTCTCACCTGGCCTCTCTCTAGCTTATTATTTTGTTTTACTTATAACATTGTCACTACAAAAGTAAATTAAAGTGGAGAATACCTGAGCAGACAAAGCCAGTTAGGCCTCATAAGTGACCTTATCATTGCTTGATTTACAAACACAAGCAAAACTAAACTTAAGCTATTTCTTGTGAATGCCTATATTAATGAAAAACAGAACCGAAGTCCAACCAAAAAGAAGCCACCAACAAACTTACATAACTAGGGACTTTTCAATGGAATAGATGAAATAAGGCAACTTTATAACTGTAACCAATCAAATATTTTCCTTGTATCACTTCTTCATCTCTCTATAAAAGCCTGTGTCTTCAACAGACCTCCTGAACCACTTCCGCTTTGGAGCTGCCTGATTCATGAATTGCTATTTGTTCAAATAAACACTTTAAAATTGTATTGCGCCGCAGTTTATTTTTCAACATCACAAATGGAAATTACATTGGGCATTTATGTGCTATCAATTTATTATCTGTTTATTATCTATTTTCAATGTAAGTTCCATGAGAATATAGACCTTGCCTCTTTTAACCACAACTGTCTCCTTAGCATAAAGATCATGGTCTAGCACATCACAGTGGATGCTTCAAAATTATGTTATGGATGCATAAATGATTGGAGGCCGCAATCCACCTTTCCCACATGCTCTTCCTAAATACTTCTTCATAAAATGAAACCCCTCTCTCATCCATGAAACCGGTAACAGTGCATCATTGTATTAGTCGGTTCTCACATTGCTATAAGGAACTACCTGAGACTGGGTAATTTGTGAAGAAAAGAAGTTTAATTGACTCACAGTTCCACATACTGTACAGGAAGCATGGTTGGGGAGGCCTCAGGAAACTTACAATCATGGCAGAAGGCAAAGTGGAAGCAGGCACATCTTCACATTGCAGAGCAGGAGAGAGAGAGAGAAGGGGGAGGTGCTACACACAGACAGATCTCATAGAACTCTCTCACAATACAGCACTAGGGGGACGGTGTTAAACCATTAGAAAATACCCCCATGATCTAATCACCTCCCACCAGGCCCCACCTCCAATCCTCCAACATTGGGAATTACAGTTCAATATGAGATTTGGGGGTGGAAGTGGCAGAGGCAAAAAGAGAGAGGCGATGGAGCCCTTTCTCTCTGCTGGGCCTCGTGCCTGCAGCTGTGTGCTCACCGTTTCACTTAATCCATTCAACAGCCTGATCAATTAGGTGTCATTAATGCCATTTAACAGCTGAGGAGACATGCCCAGAGAAGTGGAGTGATAGGACAGCTAGCCACTAGAAGCAGCAAGATTCAAACCCAGGTGAGTCTGGCTCTGCACCTCACATCCCTCCCACTTTGCTGTAATACCCAGAGACCATCTGGCTCAGCCCTCTCATTTCACAGGTGAAGAACTGAGCAGCAGCGAGAGAAATTGCCAGAGTTACACCTGTTGTTTTCAGCACCTTGTTTGATTTCCTTTCATTTTGCCTCTTTCCAAGGTGTGACTGGCCCCTGGACAGGTTAACAGATCCAAACCATATCAACCATGCATGCCTCAATGTGTCCCTGCTCCAAGTCTTTGTTCCTACAGTTATCACCACATGACCTACTCATTCTTTGGTGCCCAGTTCAAATTCTGCTTCTGAGAGTCAGTAGGGGACACTAGAAAG
Organism: Homo sapiens; assembly: GCF_000001405.40. Classification (NCBI taxonomy): domain Eukaryota; kingdom Metazoa; phylum Chordata; class Mammalia; order Primates; family Hominidae; genus Homo; species Homo sapiens. Next base: position 35,063,575 of record NC_000022.11, read on the forward strand.
ATCAAGGTAATTGACTCAGCATGGAACACTAGCTGTGCCACTACATAGCTGTGGGACCCTGGGCACATTACTTAAAGCCTCTGAAGCTTAGTTGCTTCACTGTAAAACAGGGCTAAGATATCTACCTTAGCAGAGTTTATTTGCTTGTGAGTTTTACAGTAGATTCAATAAGACAATTCAGAAAAGGGACTTATATATGATGGCCCCTCTCCTTCCTTTGTTGTTCCTCCTCTTCAAAACTTTCATTAATCCAACAGCCACTCAATCTCTGACTTCTCTGACCACCCACAAGATTCCATCACGGACCATTGATACTTCCTGCCTTGTGTCACTGTACGTCTGCAGCCATGTCCCCCTTCCTCCCACCCCACCCCACCCCCACCCCAGAATGTAAGTCCCTCAGGGCAGGGGCCATATCTCTTTCATCTACATCTCCAGAGTGTTTGGCACATAGTAGATGCTCAAGAAATATTCATGGAATGAGCATACATGTGAGTGATAAAAGAATTGAAGTCAGTAACGTCAGGATTATGGCTAATCATGGGAGAGAGGGGAGTAAGCGTCCGGGTCCACACCACAGAAGGGTGTTCTGTTAACCTGTCCAGGGGCCAGTCACACCTTGGAAAGAGGCAAAATGAAAGGAAATCAAACAAGGTGCTGAAAACAACAGGTGTAACTCTGGCAATTTCTCTCGCTGCTGCTCAGTTCTTCACCTGTGAAATGAGAGGGCTGAGCCAGATGGTCTCTGGGTATTACAGCAAAGTGGGAGGGATGTGAGGTGCAGAGCCAGACTCACCTGAGTTTGAATCTTGCTGCTTCTAGTGGCTAGCTGTCCTATCACTCCACTTCTCTGGGCATGTCTCCTCAGCTGTTAAATGGCATTAATGACACCTAATTGATCAGGCTGTTGAATGGATTAAGTGAAACGGTGAGCACACAGCTGCAGGCACGAGGTCCAGCAGAGAGAAAGGGCTCCATCGCCTCTCTCTTTTTGCCTCTGCCACTTCCACCCCCAAAGATCCTGTCCTTGCTCTTGACCAAGCATCTCAAGTACCCATCAGAGCTTCCTCTGCCCTGAGTGTAAGGAACCTTGTCCTCTCATCCAACAACCCCTTCCATGGACCAATGGTGGGCCTGACTTCTAGGGGACTCTGGCCTCTTCACTGCAAAAGTCAACAAACTGGTTCATTTGTCTCCTGGCAGGAAAACTCCCCTGTCCAGCCCTAGGAAAGGGATAGGTCTAAGCAGGGTCATGTGACTCCCTCTGGCCACAGAATGTGAGCAGAAGGTCTATCAACCACTTCCACTTCTGACTCATCAAAATTTCTCCTTTCAACAGAAAACCAAATACTGAATGTTCTCACTCATAGGTGGGAGTTGAACAATGAGAACACATGGACACAGGGAGGGGGAAAATACACACTGGGGCCAGTCAAGGGGTTGGGGGCAAGGGGAGGGAGAGCATTAGGACAAATACCTAATGCACGCAGGACTTAAACCTAGATGATGGGGTGATAGGTACAGCAAAGCACCAAGGCACATGTATACCTATGTAACAAACCTGCACATTCTGCACATGTATCCCAGAACTTAAAATTAAAAAAAAAAAATTCTCCTTTGCTGTCTCCCTTTCCCCAGAAAACTTGGAGCCTATGATTGGAGAATGGTGGCATCACTGTTTGAAAGGAATCTGGGTCCCTAAATGACTACATTAGAATGTGATGTGGGTGAGCTATTATGCTCCCAAGACTATAGGGTTTACTTGCTACTACAGCAGAGCCTATTCCCCCCCTAACTAAATCAGACAGCCTGACACTTCCAAGGGGCACAGCTCCTAAAATGGGGCATCTTTACCTGTTCCCTCTCTCAGGGTGAGTCCCTCTCTCTCCTGACTCACTCTTCTCAGGGAGTGGAGACCAACGTTCCCTATCCTTCACCTCCCACCCCTGCCCTCTATGAGAAGATCTAGATTCTAACATCCAAATTTACATTCACAGTCTCTGCCAGGGTATCCATCCCTCCTGTGCAAATTGGCTCCTTGTGGCCAGCATGGCATCATGGACATCCCCAGGGGAGTACTGTGATCAGGCCCTGCCATCACATTTTCTGTACCTCCTTGGTCTGGACCTCAGTTTCCCCATATCAGAAAGCCCTGGAATGCTTTTCCTGATCTGATATTTGCAAGCCATGGAAAGCACATCTGAGAGCAAATGAATGCCTAAGGCTGACAGCCAGCAGACTGCACCTCAGCCCAGCCTCCCCCACACATGACCACAGGCTCTCCTGGCTGAGTAAACATGTTTTATTGGGCCTGGGTACACTTCCTGGCCATTCTGCTCCCACCTTCCCTTCCCCTGCTCTGGCCAGTTCCCCAGCACAGCCCCTCCCTGGGGCCTCCAATACCTGTCCTTCAGATCCCCACTGCCTCCTGCCACTTTTCTACCCTGACACCTGCATCCCCAGCCTTAAGGGGCGTGGAGAGTTTTTCTCTTATCAGCCTGTTTTACTGCCCCCTCCTCCTTGGTTACACAGTAATTTGGAGCAAAATTCCAGGCAAGGACAGATCAACAACTGTCAGCTCCCAGTCAGAGAGAAAGGGCCTCTTCAGTCTGTCTCAGGAGACTGGGAGAAACAGCATAAAGGACCCCACAAGGAAGGGAGAGGTACCCTGGGTCAGGCGCTTGTGGAGAGAGGGCTTCGCATGTAAAGTGACGTCAGGGAAAATAGAACAGAAAAAAAGCCAGGGCCAGCCCAGAGGCACCTGAGAAGAATCAGACCCACAGCTCAGCCCAGCCCTGGCACAGAGAAGAGACAGGCCTGGCAGCACCCAGGGACCCCCTTTCCTCAGCCTCCACCTGCAGGACAGCAGGAGCACTGATGCGCTGAAGGTACGTTCTGGAGTCTGGAAGCAGCAGAACTGAAGGAAGTAAACACGGGTGTCTGGGAAGACCCCTCAAGCTGCAGTAAAGCCCAGGACTGAATTGGCCACCTGAGGCCAAGGGTGGCACTCCAACCTCCTCCTAAAGGCTGGCTAGAGCCACAGGAAAGGGCCAGAAGCCAGAGAAAGGGCAAAGGTGGACCCCTGCCTCCAAACCTCCTCTGGAGACTGACCTCCTCTTTCCTGTGCCTTATTGTTTCTCCCTCTTCTCTTTGTTCGCCACTGGGCGGTGACCTCAGGGATCCTGGCCTAACCTGGTGATTGTGCAGGCAACTGTGTCCGAGAAGACCCTTCTCTGGAAGATTGAACCCCAATTCAGCCATGGTGACTCCTTTGATGTCAAACTGGTAAGGGCTGAGCCGTGGGCACAGGATACCACTCCTTCCAGCTCTTCTGCTGTGACCTGCCCATGGAAGTCCCTGTGGACACGAAATCCTGTTTGGATCATCTAACTGGAGGCTCTCTGTTCTTCACCTCCACGCGCCCTCTTGACCCCAGGAGGTTCAGGGGAGGAAGTACGCCACTCTCCACTGGCACCCTCCTTGGCCTACACAGAGTCACCCCTGAGCCCCTCAATGTGTGCTGAGGTGGGCCCTGCTCTCTGCAGGGGTATGGAGAGAAATAGCTTGGGGTGCTGTGAGGCCCCGAAGAAGCTGAGCCTGTCCTTCTCCATTGAGGCGATCCTAAAGAGGCCTGCCAGGAGGAGTGATATGGACAGACCAGAAGGGCCAGGTGAAGAGGGCCCCGGAGAAGCTGCGGCCTCAGGCTCTGGGCTAGAAAAGCCTCCAAAGGACCAGCCCCAGGGTAAGTGTCTTCTGATCATTTCTTTCTGTTTCCTGGTCTCCAAGACCCAGCTGGGCTCAGGCAGAGAAAAAGCTTCTCCGTCCATATTAACTGGATAGAGGACTCTAAAATTCAGAGCAAGACCTGGCTCTGGGCTGGTTTCCTGATATACCTTTCAATCTAACCCAAAACTGTGCTTTTCAGCTTCAGACACCAAGGCTCAGTTAGTTGCAGAATGCAGGGACCTGGGGCTTGTTATTGTAACCAGGCCCCGGCTAAGAATGCTAGTTACCATTTATTCAGCATTGACAATGTCATAGGCATTCTCTTTTAATTTCAGTAGAAAAGCATGATTATCATAACTGGACAGATAAGAAAACTCATCTGTGAAAGAGAAGAGGAGGATAATGTCCCCAAGTTACACAGCTGGTAAACAGAAGCCCCGCTATCAGGACCTGGCTCTGACTCCCCCAAATCCCTGCTGGGCCCAGCACAGTCTCCTCCTCATAAGCCAAGTTCAGTCTGCACAACTTCCAGGGGCTGAAGCTTTGCCCAGGGGCCGAAGCTTTGGCTTGGGAAAAGTCTGTCCACCCTGATCACCTTCCCCAAGCCAGTGGCCACCCCAAGGCATGTCCCCAGATAACAGTGACCAGGTAGATCGAGAGCTGGCTTGAGGAAGGGAGGAAAGCCGCACTGGGGCATTGGTGTGGACGCACACACCTGCTAACAGTCAGGAACCCAGGATGTGAGTCTTAGCTCTACCTTGGCCTGCTATGTGACCTCAGAAAAGTCCCTGTCCACTGCAGCCTCAGGTTTATTCTCAGCAAAACACCTGGGTGAAGGAATAAGAAATGGTGAAGCTGGCGATGTCTCAAGGGCCTTGTCAGTCTGACTGTCACTGAGCCTGGAATATCTCACATGAGGTTCTCAGTTCTCTCCCCTTTTCACCCCTTTTAATCCCAGAAAATGCTGGAAAGGAAGCTCAGGGAGCCCTTAATGTCATTACCTGCCATAAATAGAGCTCCACATCCCCACCAACGAGGCAAGTCTCCCATGGAGGGAGCTGATGAGGGGTCGCACTCAGCTGCAGGCATGAGGAAGACCAGGAGGGCTGTGTGTCTGCAGGCAGGAAGGAGCCTGGTGTGTTTCCCTATAGCTGAGTTTTCCAAAGGGAAAGGGTCTCTAGCTTAATTTTTGGAAGTTCATTAATATCTTCCAGTCCATTAAAGATTCATAGGAACATTTCCATTGGGGTCCTGAGTCTCTCCTCCTGCAGTTGTACAAATCTATGATCACCCTGTGTCATGAGAGAGAGGTCTCGCTTTTCCTACCAGAGAAGCTTCCCTTCCCCTAGCCCGATGACGGCAGGCTTCAGAAAGGAAACCACTCTTTCTAGGCCTCCACGGAAGATTCTGGCATGTTCCGTGTCAGCTATCCATCTGGTCCCAGAACAGACCCCAGTAAGTGCTGACCAGACTAGCGGTGGTGACATCGGATGGTGGTATATTCCTTCCACAGCACTTTTGTGGCCATTTTCCCATCTCACTGTCACACTTGGGAGCCCAACTTACAGATGATGAAACCAAGAAGAGAAGATAAATCCCCCACAAAAACTATGTGAGTAATGAGCACTAGAATTGAACCCTGGTGGCCTTAGACCATCTACTCTAGATTATTCCTGAACTTAGTTTAAATCCATCCGTCTCCCACTATGCTGGAATTCGGCATTTCTGAAAGCTTGGAGAGGGTCCCACTGGCGGCTCTCAAGATGACCTTGGTGGGTATGTAGATAAAGATGATCTAGCTCAATAGTCCTGTAATTACTTTTATACTAACCTTGTATTTATGATGAAAGACACTGTTATCTGTGTATGATCATGATATAAGGTATTATTTTAAAATACATTTATTATTTGAGTCAAACACAAAAGTCTATTTGGGAAAATGCTAAACAAATAATACAGATGGGATATGAACTTGCCAGAAACTATATAAAAGAAACCTGCAGAAATTGCAAATGAGCTGGAGTCTCTGAAACACACTGGGTGAGAAGGGCAGGGTTTCAGGAAACCTACCCTCTAAGCCCAGATCTGGCCCCAGTGCACGGGAGGACCTCAAGCCAGTCACTTCCCTCTCTGGCCTCAATCTCCCCACCTGTAACATGAAAGAGCAGGGCTAGAATATTCATAAGGTCTCTCCCAGCTCTGACATGCCATGACCAACTTAACAACAAATTAGTTGCTGAAAAACCTTGCAGGATTCCCTTGTGGTGATTTTCCACTGTAGAATCTTTCTCCCTGGGGAAAGGATGGTCATGATCCCAGGCAGGGCAGGAGCAGAGAGACTGGAAGGCCTCTCCCTACCCTCACAGGAGCCCTCATGCCCAGGCCTGTGCTTACTGCTGCTGGCTGATGCTTCTCTACTTCCCTGTTTTACGTCCCTCCTTTTGTGCAGGACCCCTCAGCAGAGAGCAACAGGAGCAGAAACAGCAACACCCTCTCCTGCCCCAAGAATAATGATAGAGGAATAAGTTCCTCTTTGTCTCCACTTAACATTTAAAAGGCTTCCTAGACTGGCTCACAGACAACCCTTGCCATCTCACCTAGGGATCTTATTAAAATGCAGCCTGTCAGGCCCAGCAACCAAGACTCTGACTCTAAGTGAAAAGGCCCAGGAATCTGCATTCTAACAAGCTCTCCCAAATGATTCTGATGTTGGTGGCCCAAGGAAGTGGTCCTTAGAGGAAGCTGAGACTCAATAAGGTGAAGTGGTTTCTTCCAAGCTACAGAGCCAGTACATGCAAGAGATGGGGCCAGGCTAGTTATCTGGGCTCCAAGGCTAGTGTAGTGCTCTACTGTCCTCATTTCTCATGGTAGGGACCAAGGTCCCCCCTGACATCTTCCCATTCCTGCAGGGACCTTCATGATCTATAGGTTGGACCCTCCCAGGTCTTAAAAGTCAATGGGAAAATCCAAGAGGACTTCTTTATCTGAAAAGATTCTACACCCAGCCTCCTGCTCTCTCCTCCAAGGAGAGGGAAGCCCTCCAAAACTCAGGACCCTCCAAAGTTAAGGGAGACCCAGTCAGGAGGAAGCCTCTTTATACTGAAAGCTCAGATCCTGGGAAGAGAGAGAGGGAGACCATCTTTGCATCTCTACCACTGATAATCCTTTGTGGGGAAATCATAGGCCCCAGGCGAAAGGTGATAGAAAATTGACAAGGAAGACAGACCACCCCAGTGGGTAAACCAGTATGGACTGCCTGGCCTGTGGGGAACCCAGGTATCTTCCCTTGCCTGCTCACCATCTATTCATTCAGTCAGTGACTAATCACTGAGTGCTTACTCTGGGCCAGGCTGGGGGCTGGGGAGGTGAAGGTGAATAAAACAAGATGCAGTGACTACTCACCTGGAGGGGGATGGAAGTCCCTGGCAGTGCCACCTTGGGGCAGTGCTGCCTTCTGCCCATCTTGTCTGATGGAGCTGGCCAGGGGCATGGTAGAATTCTTGGCATTTGAGAAGCATCCTGTAGCAAGGGACAGCAATGTTTTTCTGCAAAGGAACAGATGGTAATTTTAAGCTTTGATGGTCAGATGGTCTCTGTCACAATTACGCAACTCTTCTATCACAGCTGAAACTCATCTGTAGACAATGTGTAAATAAATGGGTAGGCTTATGTTCCAATAAAACTTTATATACAAAAACAGGGGTCAGGCCAGATTTGGCCCTCATGCTGCAGTTCATCAAGGACATGACCCTGACACATTAGTGTGGCACTCAAAGTCCTTCCCAGACTGGCCCTGTTCATCCCAGGCTCACCTCCCATCACACCCTCCCCGGCCCTGTCTACCTTCGAGGTGCAGGCAGCTCCTCTCCAAATTCCAAACCTTTCTTGCCCTTTAAATGCTTTGGTGTCTTTGCCATTTAGAAACCACTGCTCCTCCTGCCACCTCTTCCTCTTCTTTCCCCTCTTCCTCCCTGTATTAATTTTCTATGGCTGTTGTAACAAATTACCACAACCTGAGTGGCTTAAAACACAGAAATGTATTCTCCTACCATTCAGAAAGCCAGAAGTCTGAAATCCAGGTATTGGCAGAGATAGCTCCTTCTGGAGGCTCCAAGGGAAAATCTGATCCATGCCTCTCTCGTAGTTTCTGGTGGTTCCAGCAACCCTTATTCTTCTTTGACTTGTAGACGCATCACTCCACTTTGCCTCCATCTTCTCACAGCCTTGCCGTGTGTGTTTGTGTGTAATGTCCCTTTCTCTTATAAGGACACCTGTCATTGGATTTAGGGCCCACCCTAAATCAGCAATGATCTTATGCCCAGAGCCTTAATTATATCTACAAAGACTATTTGGAGCAAAATTCCTGGCAAAGACAGATCAACAACTGTCAGCTCCCAGTCGGAGAGAAAGGGCCTCTTCAGTGCTATCTCAGGAGACTGGGAGAAGCAGCAGAAAGGACCCCACAAGAAAGGGAGAGGTACCCTGGGTCAGGCGCCTCTGGAGAGAGGGTCCTTTTCCTTCCCTGTTCCTCACTTCTTTCTCCTCTCCTCCTCCCTCACTTCTCCCTCCTTTCCGTAGCCCTCCTCCTCCCCTGAACTACCTGAAATCAAAGACAGCTGCTCTGCTATGGGAACTGGGAGAGGCAGCCCTGGTTTGAGGCTGTGACTAAGGCCTGTGTGTATCTCATCACCTGGTGATTAACAGCTCTGGCTCTTACCCAGGTAGACCCAGGAGCTCCCATCAGAGCAGACGAGAACAGGGCAAAAGGATGTGGAGTTAAAAACAGGCACTTCCTCAAGAGAAGTGTGCTTTGGTCTTCCTCCAATGGACTCCATCTCTTAGTTCCTGGCACCAGAGCTATGGGGACCTTCCTACAGGGATACCTGGAGACTGGTTCTAGAATTGAGAACCTGGCTCAGTCTCAGGCCCTGTGGGAGCACAAGAAAGTACAAGGCATGGCCCCTACCTGCAAAAAAGAGCACGGTATTAGTGTGGGGTCCCCCAAAAAAGCAGACCCTAAAGAAAGGATCTGAGCACAAGTAGTTGATATGGGACATGCAAGGAAGTAGTGGAATAATACAAGGAAGGGGAGGCAATGAATAAAGCATGTGTTATTAAACCAGTGGCCCCTATGAGTAACTGAAGCTCAAATCCTTTGGGAAATGGAGCAAACATACTCCCTAGAATTATCCAAAGATTTGATCCCTAAAGACAAACCCTGGCAGTAAGAAGTAGATATGGAGCATGGAAAGGTCTGGGTGATACAAGCCAGCCACTGACAACATCAACTACAATCATAGGGCCCAGAATGTCAGAGCTAGGAGAAATCCAAATGGGCAGAGGAGGAGGCTTAAAACATTGGCTATAATTTAAGTTTGATTTATCCACTGTATTATTTATCCAGACAGGCAACAAATAGCCACTGAATATCTACTGCGTGCCAGGCATACCTATTGCACAACAAATCATCCCAAAACTTAGTGGCTTAAAATAATAAATATTTATTATCTCACTCAGTTTTGTGGATCAGGAATTTGGGAGTAACTTAACTGGGTGGTTCTGGCTCAGGGTCCCTCATAAGATTGCAGTAATGATGTTATTTGGGGTTGCAGTCGTCTGGAGGCTGGACTGGAATAAAAGATTTATGTCCACGGTGGTTCACTTGCATGGCTAGTGAGCTGGTAACAGCCACTGGTGGGAGGACCCAGTTCTTCCCTATATAGGGCCCTCCACATGCTGCTTGAGTGTCCTCACAAAATGACAGATAGCCTTTCTCAAAGTAAACAGTCCTCGAGGGACAGCCAAGTGGAAGCAGCTTCCTTTTAGGACTTAGCCTGAGAAATTACATCACATCACTTTCACTGCATTTCATTCATTAGAAATGAGTCACCAAGCTGGGC